>NC_000004.12:118618350-118769865 GCF_000001405.40 Homo sapiens | reverse complement strand
TTGTCACAACCCCTACCAGTGGGGCACCAGAGCCAGGCCCATGCTGTGGATCAGAAGCGACCATAAACAAGAAAATCCAATCTGTCTTCTGGCTTTCTTGAGGCAAGATGCGGGGAAGAGGGCATTGCAGAAATAGAGGGGAATGATTAAAGAAAAAATTTAAATCCTTCCCCGATTCTTTTGAGTATTGTGTTAATAAACCTGTTTTTTTCTGCTCTGAGACCTCCCAAATGATTTCTGAAACCTCAGCTTTCACTTTGAACATCTGGGCAGGGACAATGGGGGATCTCGGTTTTCTAAGACTGAAGCAGAAAACGGCCTGATGCCCCTACCCCACTGACCTCCTGCTCTTCAGGCCTCCGTTCAAAAGCAGTCTGCTTTATTTGTATCTTTTTCAGTAAAGAAAAATTTAATTGACATGCCAAAGCCTGCAATTCTCAAGCTTTTCTTTAAATGTTATCTTTAAGGAGATTTACAAAAACAAGTATCTCTGTGGTTTTCTCCCGAAAGCCAGAAGAGTTGGGAAGGCAGACTTAATGCTGAACTTTTTTACTTTTAAACTGTAAAAGATGTATCATGCTTTCTATGTATGTTTATGAGGAAGAAGCAATTGAATGATTTATTTTTTCAGTTCTGGCAAAGCATGGCCAGCTACACTGTGAGTATTCTGTGAAACGTTTTTTTCTGATAAACTAACAGAAAAGGTAGAATCGACCGCCTTGCCTAAATAAATGAACATTATTGCATATTTCTTCAAATAGCTGCATTTTTGAAGAAATAGTTTATGTGCTTTGGGGGAACTACATAGACAGCATACTGCTATGCAAACTAGAACTTTTTAAATCAGGCCCAACTCTCTTTATTTATAATCTATGAAGAAACTTAGCAAAATAGGTGACACAAGTTGTCTAGAATGTTTTTAACGTAAGTATAAGTAGGTATTATTACCATCACTATATGTTCTCTCTCCACACACATATTGGCAAATATGCATATGCAGATAGACATAAATATACATATATTGATATATCCTTATAAGTGAGATAAATTAACTTTTGTTTGGGTATTCTGGACAACATCTTATGGCTTTGAATTCATGTGTTATCAATAAAGACATCTTTACTGTCCTGGGGCAAAAGCTAAGAGTTGAGTTCCTTAAAAATTGCCACTAGGCCAGGCACAGTGGCTTACGCCTGTAATCCCAGCACTTTGGGAGGCCAGGGTGGGTGGATCACCTGCAGTCAGGAGTTCGAGACCAGCCTGGCCAACATGGCGAAACCTCGTCTCTACTAAAAATACAAAAATTAGCCAGGCTTGGTGGCAGGCACCTATAATCACAGCCACTCGGGAGGCTGAGGCAGGAGAATCGCTTGAACCCTGTAGGTGGAGGTTGCAGTGGGCAAACATCATGCCATTGCACTCTAGCCTGAGTGACAGAGCAAGACTCTGTCTCAAAAAAAAAAAAAAAAAAGTGCCATTAAAAGACTTCCCAAATTATAGTACCTAGAAATCCTATACTCACCTGTTCATTTAATTTTTCTTGCTTCTCCATAGAGTCCCCTTTACTTGGTAAATCACGGCGAGAGTGGACCAGTCAGATGCAACAGGTGCAAGGCCTACATGTGCCCATTTATGCAGTTCATCGAAGGAGGAAGGAGATATCAGTGTGGATTTTGCAACTGTGTGAATGATGGTAAGCAGTGCCATTAAAAGCTCTTTGTGAAATTCTTTATTAACTAAAATGTATTATACTTCTTAGTTTAGGAGAAGCATACATTCTTTTTTCTGCTATATAGCAGTACCTTCTTTATAATTTTCTAGAAGGAAACCAACTATGACAGGCTCTATTTGGGAAATTTAAGCCCCTTTTAACCTTAGGTAACTACATGAGCCCCACATGGAAGTTGAAATGTTTCTTAAAAAACTCAAATGTAGGGGGAAAAATTTTATTTCTTAATCCCCTTCCACAAAGCCTCAGTGGGAAACAAAATAAGATTTTTACCTCTTATGATTACAGATGATAAACTTGGGAGACTTTTCCTCTTTTGTCACTTCTCAAGGTTATTCTTGAAAATCAGCTCATTGATACTTAGGAAAAGCTTAGGTATAACCAAGGGCTTTAACACTTATATAGATTTTTTTTTTCACTCCGATGTAAATGTTGGATTGTTTAAGGAGGAAGGAACATTATTAAAAAGGGCTTTCCCGTATTCATTATATTTTGTTTTATTCCAGTACGAATTTACTGATTTTGAAGAAAACTGCTAAGTTGCTGAAAGTGTTTTCACATTTATTACATTTATAACATGTCTATATATTTTTAATTATTTGTTGTTAAATGAGGTACATACTGAGGCTGAGAACATTCCCATATTCATTGACATTTTTTGAACCATGTGATGATTACTAGAGTATGAGTTTTCTTCTCTGTTTCTTATCTTTGTAGACAGGCTTCCCTGCAGGTAATTAGATCTGAAGAACATATAGCACTGTCTGCCTGTGAACACATGGTTCTACCCACGGGTGCTGACTACTCCCTAATGCTGACTGAGCTGGGGACAGTATTCCTCCTACATCATTACATTCATGGCATCTTGGCTCTGTGAGCATTCTCTGGTGGGAGAGCGTTGCTTGCCTTCTTATTTCCCTGCCACCTTATCTCGCACACACACAGTCCATGGCTTTACCCAACTTAGGGCGCCAGAGACTGGCCTTGCGAGTGCTTCTCATGCAGACCTTTGGTCAGTTCTTAAACGCACCTTGCTGTGGAGTTGAATCATTGGCTTCTAGACTCATCCCAGCCTATGGCCTAAGCCTCTTGGTACGTCTCTCTCCTTACATTAACTATGGTTTCCACTCAGGGCAAATTGGATATCCCATTGAGACCAGATTGTTAGTTCTCTACCCTCACTTCTCTTTCTAAGGAAGATCTTGTTTCCTCTCTCAACCTGAATGAAATCTGCAACCAAATTCATGGCTATCATTCAGTCTTGGGACCTGGATTTCAGGAACCCTGTGACAATTCATTTCTCTGTGCTTTAGTTTTAGAGGAAAAAATCCTGAGAAGGGACAGAGGCTTCTCCCAAAGCATTTGGACAAAGTCCTCCAGCGAGCCCACCAGCTCCTCAGATGTCTTCACCCAAGCCCCCAGCTTTCTTAGAAAGGTGACCAAAATCATACCCACCATGAAGAGCAGCAAGGATCTTCAGTTTGCTGTGACTCTTTGGCCTCCTACCCAAAGTGTCGGCTCAGGGCCTTAAAAGGCCCAGCCACTTCCAGGAAGAGAAAAACGACTCAGAATTCTTGTGTCTCAACACAGCAGATTATGTTCCCTCAGGTATCCATTCCTAGGAAGCTGCCATGTTTATTTTCCAATAGAATTATTCACACTAGGCTTAAATATGTGTCCCTACAAGGAAGCCAGACTCCCATAGATGTATGCTGACACCTGTCTTCTTTTAGGTTTAACAAAGACAGAGGTTTGTTGGAGTTAGAAAGAACCCAGCAGGCTTGCTTTAGTGATTCCACTCTTATTTCCTTGCAAAGTGTCCAGAGATTGTCCAGTGGGGAGTATGTGTGGTCAGAGACATGCAGGAAGACAGGGGCCAAAGGGTAGTACATGATTTATGGTATGAGTTGAATGTTGGCTTACAAAAGATGATAGACAATATTAAATGCTAATGAATATAAAATAAAATTTAAAGGGAAAACATTTCACATATTACATTTCTGTGTGTAGATGTGAATGAATTGTATGTTATACTATGTGGAAACTACTGTACTATGCATTCTAAGATAGCCGAGGCAGCATCCTCCATCTCATCTAAATGTAACAAAATAGCAATTTAAGACCCTCAAAGTTTACTTACCTCAGCTGAGCCTGTCAGTTGCTACTTATGTAATCTTTTCAAGAAGTTGAATCTTCCAAATTCAGAGATCCATATGTGCATAAGAACCTTATAAAATTTACTTTAAAAGAAATGGCCATGATACAGTAACAACGTAGAACAATCAAGCCTCAGTGGGTTTTTTTTTTAAAAAAAGAACAACCTCAGAAAACAGTCTTGTTATTCTTATGTCAGTTTCACAGCTAACAATAAATAATGCCAAATTGTTGGCTTAAAAACAAGAAGCATTATTTGTATGGTTTTTACAAATGGCAATGTTGTTCTTTACAAAAAGTTTAAAACCAGAGCATTGGTAGTTTTTCTAAATACTTTTATTGGCAGTGGTTTAGTAGCCAGCCCTATTAATCTCAAGGCAACAGGAGTTCGTTTTTACAGAGATACCAGGCCATATTTGTCCAAGTGCTCAGTATGTGACTCATAAGTGTTCCTGTGCTATTGGATGACTTCCAGATCTTTGCCAGAACTAACCTTCTTAGACATTTGAATCAAATTAAAGTTCCTTAGCTGAGATCTTAGTGGTGTAGTCTTTCCCTAATACAGTAATCCTCTCCACTCTTAAGCGCAAACATTAAAAGATTACCATGCAAACTCCACATGGGTGAAGACATCTCTTAATTAAAGCATAATAAATATTGTAGTTCATAGTATAGTTCAAATAACGAATGTTTATTTCTGTTAGGTATATTAAAAATTCAAATAGTTAGAAAAGTCAGAATTCTTTTTAAAAGAGGTAATAAAATGGGGACAATTGAATTTGGGTTGTGACAACTTAAAAACACCAATACTTTTATACCCTGTTTCTCTAGGATGGTCTAAATCATAAATGTTCTTTGTCATCAATAACTTATAGAATAAGAACCCTCCTCTTTTCCAAGACATGTTTTTAAAATAGTAGGTATTTACGGTATACTACATTCCAGCTTTAAAATACATTTTTCCAGATACTAACTCCTTTCCTCTCATAATAAATTTTGAGAACTTACTAAATTGTCTGTGTTTATGAAAACAAAATATTTTCTTTCCTATTTTGTTTTTATTAGTTCCACCATTCTATTTCCAACATCTGGACCACATTGGAAGAAGACTGGACCACTATGAGAAACCAGAGTTATCTCTAGGATCTTATGAATATGTTGCCACTTTGGATTATTGCAGAGTAAGTGTTCCCAGAACTTCAAGTGTTTATACATTGATGTTAAATTCAAGTGAATAACTTTCATATGTAAAGAACTGACTCTTGATTCACAAACAAAGCATTTTGGTGGTACCATGGAGTGGTAGAAATGCCTAAGACACAGATCCCATCTCCTAGGTTGTTAACATGATTCAACTGCCAAACCATCTACTGGAGGAATTATTTTTAAAAACTGAAATGTGGTGTCAGAAATAGAAAACAATAATTTTTTATGTCCTTGCCAGACAGAATATACCTGGTTCTTAATGCAGTAGTTCCGTACAGTGCCTCTGCCTCCCTTATTTTGTAAAGAGTCTCAGAAAAACTTCCCTTCCAAGAGAAAAGCTCAACCAAAATGGTTAGTAGGACTATTGACGTGTTTCTGTACCTCCCTTCCCTCCTGTTGCTACCACGATGGTTTGGACTCTCAGAATCCCCCTTACACTGTCTATCTCAGCAGGCTGAGATCCTGGCCTTTGATTTTCCTGCTCTATAATGTCACCATGAGACACGCCCCCACACTCACTGCCTCTCATAAACCTCTATTGGTTATTTCTTTTCTAAAAAATTAAATTAAAAAAAATTTAGCTTTCTTTGTAAGGCCATTAAGCATTGCCCCCCAAACTATCACCTCAGCTGTCTCTTCAGTTATACAAAACTTTTCACCACATACTCTGAACTCAGCCCCTTTGACAACTCCATGCCTTTATACCAGATGTTCATCTGACCAGAGTATCTTTCCATTCTCCTGTCACATCTTACATACCCCAACTGGCAAACCCCTCCCTATTCTGTAATGCCTGGCTGAAATTTTAATTGTGTATATGCATTTGCAACTTTCTCTGTCTTTATCATGGTAATTATTTACTATAGCTTCTGTTTTTTCACGGAATTTGGTCTATATCTCTATTTTAGCATTTATCCCCATGGAATTTAAACCTTCTTATATGTCTGCCGTCTTCTTAGATTCTGATATCCTCGTCATCTTTATGACATTTACCACACTATCTGCCATGGGATAGGTAGTTGATCAGTGTATGTGGAATGAATAAAACAATGAATTTGCGGGTATTACTATTCCCAGGACTAGCCATTTCCCTTGTCCAGTGTCACAATGACATCATTATGGATACCTTGCAAGGCTTTAAAATTCTTCACTGATTTGAAAATCACATCTTCTTGCGTATCATTCAGATTTCAGCGCATATCTGAAGCACCATGTGTAGACTTGAAGAAACAGGGCCATTCTAACTTATTTTCTTATTTTCTCTTCTAAAAATGAGTGCCTACTAATGCCCAATTCCCAGAAAACAGCTTCTGACCCACAGATTTCTTTCATAGATGTTTGCAAGGCGAGCAGTCATGTATTGAGTGTAGATGATAATGAACATTTTTCCTAACTAGAATTTTTTTCAGTTGACTGGCTCTTAAAATTTTTTCCATTAACATAACTTATTGCATTTATTTTACTACTTTATATGATTATTTTGCAATATACTACGTAGAACTAGTTGTTAAAGAAAATGTGATGCTTTATTAGTTTAAGATGTTGCAACATCTGAACATACTTAGGGAAATTTAGGAATATTTTTGGTACAAATGCTTTATTTTAGGCAAGAAGCATGTCCTAAAATACAGTGACTTTTGGACAGTTTAGTTGTTCCTAACTGCTGTTAACTGAAGGAGAATCATTGGGCAACATGCAAACATTTAATGTTTTAATTCAATGTAAGAAAGCCATTGTAACTAATGATGGAAAATTTATTTGCCGATCTTTGCAACCATAGTATAAATCTAACCCTGCTCTCAGTTTCTAGTTCTCTGCCAAAAAAGTGACATGATCTTGATTATATGCTTTTTTAGTAGTAACTTAGGCAGAGAGTCAAATCTGTTTCTGGGAACAAAAGTCTTAGTATCTTCAAACTCTGTTATCTGGAAATATTCCAGAAGTCTAATTGATGGGAAATCTCACCCAGCCAGGCAAGGAACCAAATAAAAATTGTACATTTTGAAGAACTTTTTGTAAGCATAATCTTCCTTTTATTATTCCAAGTAGAGTTCATAATAAATATGCTGTAAACATCTTCAAATTTGATTATAATTTAAAATGTAAATAAAGTATAATAATGAGTTGGCTTAGCTATTCAGACAATGAAAAAGCTTATTTAATTTGTACATGTATTTTTTACACCATGCACTTGGAAAGAGGAATTACAAAATCACATTTTCCTATTCATCTTGGCTCATCTTAATGTTGATTTTAGATGGTAAAATTAACATTATTGAACATTTACCATGTGCCAAGCTGTAGGCTAAATTCTTTCTATGTATTGTATCATTTAGTCCTCACGGTGAACCCATGTGGTGCGTACCATCATTACTTGAGGAAACTTAGGCTTAGAGACCGCGTAAGTGCCAGCTTCAGGCCATACATCCAGAAAGTAACAGAGCCAGACTGAAAACCGTATCTGTGTGATCACAGAAGCCCTATTCTCTAATCAGTACACTGTGTATACATGAGCAAGTATTAACACAATCATCCTGGAGTTCCCTCAGAAAAAAAAAGGCCTCAGCTTTGCCATATAACTGAGAGTTTATCATTAATAAGTTTATGGAATATATCTGCATGTAAAGTGTACTTGAAATGTGAAGTCTCCATCCAAGTCAGCTTTTTTTTTTTTCTGAACAAAAATGTAGTTTCTTCACTTAATTTTAATTCACTTTGACATTACCAGATGCCTAACATGTCTAAGGTACTTGTCTGTGTGCTGTAAGGCATAACAAAATTAGCAAGATAATAAACCTGCTCTCAAGGTACTTACAATGTATAGACCTGATAAGAAATGTCTATAGTTTTCATATAAACTCAAATATGATAAATGCAGTAAGAATAGAACAATCATAGTGCCGTAAGAAAACAGGATTGGGAAGGCTTCATAGAGGAAGTGACATTTGAGCTGATTAGATTATGAGCCTGGACATGACAACTAGGACAGTGAGCAGAAATAGTTTCACAAACTTATTGACAATTTACTCAGATTTCTTTAGGGGCTAGGCAGACATTGTAGATGAAGTGACATGGACCAGGATAATTAGAGAGTATATTCCCCCTTCCCTCAAAACATATTCAAATTCAAATATTTTTTCAAACACTATGCCAAACAAAACACTTTTCCAGCCAAATTCTTGGCTTAGGCCCACTAGTCTGTGACTTTTGGACAGGAGATATTTTGGAAATGTAAACTACTTAAATTGTTGGGAGAATGTGTATTGGGAATAATGGGAAGTAAAGCTGGGACATTGTTTTGAGACGCAGTCTATCTTTTTATTTTCCCCTGGGTCCAGCATTGTATCTTTGATTTCTTAGGTTTTTATACATGTTTGTTAAATGAGTATCATGGTAAGTCTTGAATGTCAGGCCATTGAAGAACTTACCTTAATTCAGTAGGCCATGAGGACAATTAAAGGTGAAGGTGGAGTTGTTCCATTCATTCATCCATGCATTCATTCACTCAGTCAACAGTTAATGAGCACTGTTTGTGGTGCCATGCTCTGTGCTAGGCTCTGAGGACTCAGTAAATTTCCTGTTCTCAGAGAAGGAAGCATTGTGATCTGTATTGAGCATCAGACAGTTTATTCTGACAGCAGTCTGTATAATGAGAGGAGAGATTAGAGGCAAGGGAACATTAGAAATTAATGTAGTTGTCCAACTATGAGAAAATGAGGGTAGTACGATAATTCCCCCGAAAATTAAAAATAGAATTACCGGCCAGGTGCGGTGGCTCATGCCTGTAATCCCAGCACTTCAGGAGGCCAAGGCGGGCAGATCACGAGGTCAGGAGTTTGAGACCAACCTGGCCAACATAGTGAAACCCCGTCTCTACTAAAAATAAAAATAAAAAAAAAAAATTAGCTGGCATTGGTGGTGGGCACCTGTAATCCCAGCTACTTGGGATGCTGAGGCAGGAGAATCGCTTGAACCCGGGAGTTGGAGGTTGCACTGAGCCGAGATCGCACCACTGCACTCCAGCCCAGGTGACAGTGTGAGACTTCTTTAAACAAACAAAAAAAAAATTGAATTACCATATGACCTAGCAGTTTCACTTCTGGGTATATACCCAAAATAATTGAAAGCAGAGTCTCAAAAAGATATTTGCATATCCTTGTTCATAGCAGCAGTATTCACAATAGCCAAAAGGAGGAAGCAACCAGGTGTCTATGGAAGAAGAATGGATAAGCAAAATGTGGTATATACGTACAATGGAATATCATTCAGCCTCAAAAAGGAAGAAAAGTCTGACCCATGCTACAACATGGATGAATGTTGAGGATGTTATGCTAAGTAAAATAAGCCAGCCACAAAAAGGATAAATATGGAATGATTCTATATGAGGTATGTAGAATAGTCAAATTCATAGAGACAGAACATGGGATGGTGATTGCCAGGTGCTGGAGAGAGGAAACAGAGGTTGTTTAATGGGTACAGTTTCAGTTTTGCAAGCTGAAAAGCATTCTGTGATGGATGGTGGTAATGGTTGCACAGCATTGTGAGTGCACTTAATGCCACTGAACTGTACGCTTGAAATGGTTAAGATGGCAATTTTTATGTTTTCTTCGCCACAATTAAAAATAATAGAAAAAGAGAGAAATTGAGGATCTAAATTTGGCTACTGGAACTAAAAGAGCCACGTGGGCCTTCACAATTAACTGGTTGTGGATGCTAAGTGAGGTGGACAAGTCCATGGAGACAGTGAGATTTCAAGCCCAGGTTATTTTAGCTTATCGTGTTTTTTTATAAGTTTCTTGTAGGAAAGACCAGTATAGTTGGAGAGATGTTGTCATAATCTCTAAAATTTTGAGTCTAAGGTGCTGGCAGAACTTTTATGTGGATGTGTGCTGTAGTTAATTGGAATGCTGGTCTTGAGCTCAAAAGGAATCATGATGAGAAAGAATTTGAAGAGTTGCCTATATAGAGGTGCTGGTTAAAACTGAGCAAATGAACGAGATTTCTGTGATGGACGTGGGTGGGAGGAGAGAAGTTGGATAAAGATGAGAAAATGAAAAACAGAAGCAACAGTTAGAGAACTGGGAGAGGAAATGATGCTTCAGTGTCCTGGCAGCTAAGAGAGCCAAAGTGGTCTGGTGTGCCTGAAGTTGCAAAGAGATAGAAGAGATCTAGGATAAGAGCTGGATTTTTATTTCAAGTCACTGTACTTTGCAATCTGGATGGTTCAGTGACCTTTAAGAGAGCAGTTGTAGTAAGGTGGCATGGAAAACCAGCATTTTATAGAGTACATACATGTTAAGCTTGGCTGGACAAAGCCAGCTGGATTGAATGGGTAGAGAAATAGATTAAGAAAGCTAATGATGAAGCCATGACAGTTATCTAGGCACAAGATGACAAGCTTTCAGATGGTTAAGAGTAGGGATGGGCCGAAACATTGTTAAAGAATCATTCTGAAAGTGAAAACAATGGGACTCAGTTATTGAAGGAAAAGGAACAGCCAAATCTAATTTCACACTTTGAAGCCTTGAGTTGGCATGTAGTGACGTTATTCCCATATAGAGAAATGGGAAGAGAATGTGATTTAGAGGAACGATGAATTAATTTTGAATATTTCAAAAACCAGTTATAGTGAAGCATTTCTGTAGAAATGTGCAAATTGGAGATGTGGAAAATATTCCATGAGGAATTGGTAATGCTGATAGAAGAGATTAAAAGAATGGTACAGCACACTTGGGTTTGTCACAAAGAGGTTTTGATTTAACTAATGGAAAGGTTGTTATTTTCATCCATTATAAATCAGCACAAGTCTATGCTGTGAATTAAAGTAGGTGTGAATCAGGAATGATTTGCAATAAAAATTATTCACATAGCAGAATTCCTTCATTTCTTTGTTGGTCTGATTTTGGCAAAGGCTTGAAGTTTTCAGGATGATGATTTTTAAGTCCTATAATTTGTTTTTATTTAAAATGAAGGATTTTATTTTAAAAAGTTATCTCTAGCCTTGTAGTGGATATAGAATGAATCAGAAAGATAATTTACAGACATTGTCATCTAATTTTAAAATAATTAAAATACAATTTTAGAAAATTTTTGTGATTTATTATGAAGTTAAAAATTAAGTTGGTCTAAATTCTTTATTCCGTATGTAGGTCACTAAAGTTGTTTGCCTGTGGCTCTCTTTTCTAAATATTTTGTAAGATGCAACTGAAGGATCACTTCCTAAAAGCTGTTTGAACACCAGCCAGTAAAGGGACCAACAACTAAAAAACATGTTCGTAGCAGCTGCTTTATGTCACAGTGATTATTTTAAACAGATAAAGAAAACGCCTGACGTTCTATGTTACCGCAAATATGTAAAAAACTAGGTCAGTACTTAAAAATATAGTACAGTTTTCAAAAGTATACAGTTATATTTTCATACACAATTTCATATCTTTAAAATGGAAAGAGTTGATAGAAGAAGAGAGTCTAAAATAGTGACATCCAAGTTAATGAAGTTTTATTACAGTTTCAAAAACAAACACTATTATATGTATTCTTTTTTAGCATAATTTTTTAGTGTGCCAAACATATTTCGACCTGTAAGGCAGAGTGTTACAAGCAAGTCTGGCCATGATTCTGTACTTTCCCTTCAGCAACTGTAATAATAAAGCTTTGCAAAAGTGAACCTTCTGTGCTAGATGTCGTAATAGTGTCTAATTCAATACTAACCCAGGTCATAGCCTGGAAAATAAACAACTTCTTTTATCTTTTTAATAGCATCTGAAACCAGATGCTCTAGATATTCTGGAAAAATGATTTAATTCCACAGATGGTATATCCTAAATATTAAATGAAACATCTGATGACTTTCAAGAGTTTCTAATGAGTATTGACATTTGATTATGCAATGTATTTACTTTATTTATGTGATGTGTTTGCTTTCCTATAGAAGAGTAAGCCTCCCAACCCACCAGCCTTTATCTTCATGATTGATGTTTCATATAGTAACATAAAGAATGGACTTGTCAAGCTCATATGTGAAGAACTGAAGACCATGCTGGAAAAAATTCCAAAGTAAGGCAACCGTCATTCTTTTTACAACTTATACATTATTGCCTAATTAATTTATTGGCCAGAAGATAAGTGCTGAATGACCAATTGATTTTTTTTGCTAATGAGGACACTGGGTAATTAGTCATAAATCAAACAGCATCATTGTTTTGAGTCCTTAGAAAGTTAGAGTGATCTTTTGTACAAAGCAAAAGAAACAAACTGATAAAAAGAAATGCTATGGTAAAGAACTTTCAAAGTACATTATAAATTATAAGAAGAATCCCAACAGTGTGGTAGGAAAGACTTTGGATGTGTTATTCACTTTTCAAAGCATTGATTTTCCA
This sequence comes from Homo sapiens, assembly GCF_000001405.40. Classification (NCBI taxonomy): domain Eukaryota; kingdom Metazoa; phylum Chordata; class Mammalia; order Primates; family Hominidae; genus Homo; species Homo sapiens. The sequence goes on along the minus strand of NC_000004.12, from coordinate 118,757,397 downwards.
ATGGACACTAGTAGTTGCTGAGCATGGCAGAGTTCGAAGGGATGACAGGAAACTGAACTGTTGTCTTATGGCAGAGATGGTAGATTTTTAAGCAATTTCCTTTTGCCCTTATGATAAGCTGTCCAACCCATTTGCAGCTTTACTGCCTCTGTGTCCTGTAACTTAACAGCCTGAGGTGCACCACATTCCTTGCCATTGCAAGAGGGCAGCAAGGAAAGGCGAAAAACTAATTCTAATAACTAACAGATGAACATACCTTAGACCTTACTCAAGACTTCAGACTGTGCTTTAAAAAGGCTGTTGGGCATATTACCTGCTTTAATACAAAGAAGTAAATCAAACTGATGGCAGTCTTACCATAAGAAATATAAAGTTACACACATACACAGCCCAAAACAAATTTCAGGAGAGAAAAAACAACCAGATTTGTTTTGAAAAATAAAGAGGAAAAAATGTATCTTGGCTTGAATAAAAGCTTTTAAGAGCGGTATTTGGAAACTAGCATGGAATAACTAACACTATCCTTTTATTTTTCTCTCTTATTGCCTCTCCTAAAACTAATATCAAACGTGGCTATTTTAAAATTATCTTATTATAAAAACTAGTTGTTTAGGATGAGGAATAACATCTAGTAAGGAGATTCATGAGCAGGGAGAATGCCATCCCTCATGCGAGGAAATATGAACAGGCTGGGAAATGTTGTCTGTAACCTAGTCCCTACGTGTCCCACCCCCAACCTGTCTCCCTGAACATCAACAATCTTTGTTCTGGAAAAGGATGTTTTTCTGGAGGGTGGGTTGTTGGCTTCAGCCCTTAGAGCTCCATGAATCTTTGGGTGCCCATTCCTCTGTATTCTTTGCACATATGACTGGTGCTTTGGGAGATGTGAGGCTCAGACAAATGAACTCTGGACCTCCCAGGAGTGGTTTTGTTTGTATCTGTGAAGCTGAAGTCATAATATTTTCGAAGATGGTTTGGAAAAGCAGTGGGGATGTTTAAAAAACACCGAGGCAATTTCAAACTAAATTCTAAAATGAAGAATGAGCTGGGAGCAAGTTGAAGATGGTGGCATAAGAAAGGCGTCTGATGCCTGCAGATGTGTTTGTGACTGTAGTTTCCCTTACCCTATTCTTAAGGAAACTTGAGAAGTATGGATTTTCTGCTGAATATGATGTATTTTATTACAGAACTCTCTCATGGGGTTGGTTTAATCTGAATTTGAACTTGATTAGCATGAAAGAAAACTACTCTAATTGCTGGAAATGGTCTTTCTCTCTTTTCCTTCTCTCAAACTGGTTCAACTTAGGCTAATCTATTATCCTAGACAGTTACTTCACCAGTCCCTTGTTCCTTATCAATGCTGGTGATATGAAGCTAATAGCCTGTTGATATAAGTTATGAAATCATACTCTTTCCTTTGGTGTCATTATAACTTTATGTACCATTGGAGCACAGATGTGTGACTTTGGCAAAAGATAGGAGGAAAAAATAAAAGGATACTGTTGGTTATTCTCTGCCACTATTCCGATCTCTCTTTTAAAAGATTTTATTCAAGCCAATTACCTTTTTCTACTTTATCTTTTAAAACAAATCTGGTTGTTTCTTCTCCCCTGAAATTTATTTTGGGCTGTGCATATGTGTAACTTTATTTTTTTTAAGGTAAGATTGTCATCAATTTGATCTACTTGCCAAACAGCTTTTTAAAAAGCACAGTCTGAAGTCTTGATTAACATCTGAGAGTGTGTTAATCTCTTAGCTGATCTTTTGAAAAAGGAAGGCCTCATTCTTTACTATTTAACTTTGAATTTATACCTTTGGCCTCTCAAGGTCGCCAGACTTTTCTGACTTCTCTGGAACAGGAAAGAAAAGATTTGAATGTTTCATCTGTTATTCAGATCAAGCTCTTTAGTTATTTTGCCTTTTTTTTTTTTTTGTCTGTTTGTTTTTAATGCTGCTGTAACTAAAACGTTCCAAATGCTTGATCTTAAAATTTTCTGGTTCATCTAGTTACCAATGTCTTCAGTATTGCTCTGTCAGGTTCATTCCATTAAAATGATGATGGGTCAAGCATTGAGAGAAGTAATCATTGAAAAAAAGAACATCAATGTATTAGTCTTTATGAAATCTCTTATATAACTTCACAAAACATGTCTAGAATTAATAGGAAGGAGAGGCTGAAAATTAGTTTTCTTCTGGATATGATTTAATAAGGCAGTTACACCGTTGAAGAAAATTTTAGGACAGTTCTGTTTCTCAAACAAATAAAAAAAAGTTCCCATGGAGACCAGTACTAATATTTTGCAATAATGTAGGATGTTCTGATTAGATGCTTTTAAAAAATGTTAATTTAGATCTTAAGTGAACCCTGTGAATCCCAGGATACTCCTTTCCCGTCACTTGAAAATGTCCAAATCCAATGGGAAATAGTAATCTAGTTTTTCCTCTGTAGATTTTCTTTTATGTATTTTGCCTTAGTTGATTCTAAATTAACTATTAAAAGAGAATAAAAGCCCTTTGTGATTTGCTGGGATATTTTTCACCTAATGTCATAAAAAGTTTTACTGGGAAATGGGAGCTTAACTAGTGGTGTGCTGGTAAGCTCTCAAAAAAATAAAGCCTTAATTTGTAGTGTTAGCTCAATCCATGGTGTCAGTGCTTCTAGCCAGGCTGGTTCTAAACTATCAGGGTGACATGACTAAACTGGAGTTGGGAAGAAATGTATACTATTGGGTTATCAGTTGGGGCTCTAACTTGACATCCCAAATCCAGTTTTTCACCATCATGATAGTCATCCTCAGTTAAATATCGAATTCCCCACATTGTACCCGACCCTCAGGGGACAGATAACATAAGCTTTGGGTCCTGTCCTTTATTAGCATGCAGTCAAGGACTTGTGACTAAAAGGTACCTTATGCTAAGAGCCCAATGAGAATGATTTATAAGTGTTTAGAAGAGGAAATGACTTCTAATTGGTAGCATCGGGGAGATTTCACAGAGGAGGAAGAATTTGCACTTGGTTTTGAAGAGTAAGATTCAAATGAATCGGGTGGGGGTTGGGGTGAGTATGGATGCAGTATAGCATAGTGGTTAGTTGCATAAAGTTGCACCATTTAGGATAATTGAGGTGTGTGTGAGTGTCTGTTGTATGTGTAGTTAGAAAGAATAGGGATTCTCATTTCTGAAAGCTTTGCAAGTGTCCAGAATATAAACAGTTTCCAAGTGCTTTTGGAAGGGATTATGAGAATCTATTTAAACTGCCCAGTGAAGAACAAATAGCCTCAGTTAGTGAAGGAAGTAGAGAAGAAAACACAGTTCAGAGTCAGTACCTTATCAGCCTGTACTCTGTTGACATATCAAAGAAATTGGTAAGTCTGCAGCAGAATCAGCAATTTGAACTTGAGATACTTCCATCTAGATACTTCCATTTTCCTCTCCCTTGTACTCAAGTAACTCTTTAGGCCGTATGCAAAATTTAGAAGCTGGGCAAACCAGGTTCCTTTTCAAAAAAGTTGTCCTTTAATCAAAATAAGTTATGCTGACATCTAATGGTCAAAGAAAGTGGCATGTATGTTTTGTGTCTTTTCTTTAACCATTGAGCACTATGTAATATTCTCCATTGAAAATTGGTAAGAGCATCAATAGTATCTATGTGTTTTCTTTTAGGGGAGACAAAAATAGACTGTACAATGCACTCAACAAACATGAAACTAAGTTTAGACCATGAAATTCTGAAGGTACTCACTATAGACTATAGACTGGAACGAGAACATTCATGCCTTTATACTTACAGGAATACTAAGGCCTCGTTTTGGAATTCCTTAAAAAAAAAAATCTACTTTTTGTTACAGTTTTAGAGCTTTGGAGCTTTTTAGTGCTTTGCCATGACCATCATAAATGGTCACCTAATAACAATTACACTGTCATTTTATAAATGTAACTTATTTTATATATTTATACTATGTGTTTATAAGGTATATAGTTCCCCAAATCTAGCCTATTTTCTGTTGAGATTCTCTGATATGTAAGAAAAGAATCAGAGAAGAGGAGCAAGTGTTTTCTCAATAAAAGCAGCTGTCCTGTTAGTAATATGAGTATGGCTTCCTCATCCCTTGCTTCAAATATTCCATTTGTTCTTCTGACCTTCTGGTGACTTTTGAGAGAGCCTTGTTTATAAGGAATGTAAGAAGCCTAGCTTATTCATGAAAAAAGCATTATTGTTTTCTATAGATTGAAAATAAATATGTTACAGAAATATGAACAAGTGTTTACTTGATTTTTACCTAGAATTTTGAGGATTTTTTTCCTTATCAGTTTGTTTATTTTTGTAATAACTCCTATCCCCCATTGCCGTGACTAGTATTGTTTACACTTGGTAACAGAAAGTAAGACAAAAACTTTAAACATGTTTTTATGTATTTTATAGAAGACACACTTACTGAATTTCAGATAGAAACCTCCTTTTCATCTAAATTTATAAAGCATCTCAAACACTTTTTTTTTTCCTTACAGGGAAGAGCAAGAAGAGACGTCTGCAATTCGAGTGGGTTTTATCACATATAACAAAGTTCTCCATTTCTTTAATGTGAAGAGTAATCTGGCCCAGCCTCAGATGATGGTGGTGACTGATGTTGGAGAAGTCTTTGTTCCTTTGTTGGATGGTTTCCTTGTCAACTATCAAGAATCCCAATCTGTGATTCATAAGTAAATATCAAGTGTTTTATAATTTAAAAGTAAATCAGGTGTTTTGTCTTTAATTGCACTGTGTTTTGATTCAATCATACATTGTTTTATCATTAGCAAGGGGGTTTCAAGACACAGATTATAAAACTCTATCATTTATGTTAAGTCAGTCTTTTTTAAATATAGACAAGTATCTAAGAGATTTTTAAATATAGACCAGTATCTAAGAATTTTTTAAATGCTCACATTCAGCCCTATTGGTTCTTCCTCTTTTTCTGGAAAGGTATCGCAAGGGAGCTATTTCCTATATATGGATGAATGTATTCAATGATGATGGTAATAACTGAAGATGTAGCCACTGTTCCAAGAATTTATGGTCTAAGAGATCAGTATTGCAGTGAATAGAAAAAATATCTACAAAGAATGATTTTGTAAATGTTCCATTCAAATCATAGATTTTGGTGCCAAGCCACGCTAAGATATCATTTCCTAAGGAAAAATTACCTATAGGTGTTGGTGTCAAATAAATACCATATGTGTTTAGGCTTGAAATGTTAGTGATTTATTGCTTGAAGTTTATTAAAATATGCTAAACATTTCAAACCTTTTGCTTACTCATGTCTTATAGTTTGTTGGACCAGATTCCAGACATGTTTGCAGACTCTAATGAAAATGAGACTGTCTTTGCTCCTGTCATCCAGGCTGGCATGGAAGCACTAAAGGTGAGAAGAAGCCACTTCTAATTGCTAGTAAATAAATTTTAAAAACAGAGAGACAAAAAATAAGAAAGTTTCATTTATGAAAGAAAAGACAGTCTTCATTAAAACGTGGGTCACTAGAGGCTATTCCAAACTTCCACTCAGATCTCAGGAGGAAATGACCAAAACCACAGATTGCTCCCAGTGTGTCCATTCCAGCACTGTTAGCATCTGAGCAACTCATTTTGCCAGGATTTCCAGTTTAGCTCCTCCCTCTGGCTTTTATATGAACTTTATATGGTCTATTTTAAAATTAGTCCAACAATATCAGAACTACCAGATTCCCATATCACCCTCCCCAGCCATGGGATTTTCAAACATGACAGGCCAAGGCCTTGTCACAGTCAGTGACAGAGATGTGAATGCTGATTGCCAGAAGTAGATGAGAGGTTGGCCATGTCTCCAGTTGGGAAGCTGAGTCCAAAATGACTCTGATCATTCTCATAGTAATGAAGACAGTAAACTGAAGAAGCCGTAATGATTAAAAAGCACTCACTCTCACGCCTGTAATCCCAGCACCTTGGGAGGCTGAGGCAGGCAGACCACCTGAAATTGGGAGTTTGAGTCCAGCCTGACCAACATGGAGAAACCCCGTCTCTACTAAAAATACAAAATTAGCCATGCGTGGTGGCACATACCTGTAATCCCAGCTACTTGGGAGGCTGAGGTGGGAGAATCGTTTGAACCCGGGAGGCAGAGGTTGTGGTGAGCCAAGATGGTGCCATTGCACTCCAGCCTGGGCAACAAGAGCGAAACTACATCTCAAAAAAAAAAAAAAAAAAAGCCCTCACTCTAAATCATCATTATTACCTTAACACAAGAGTCAAACCATTTTGGCCCTGACAGCTAGTTTCTAAAATTAATTTTAAAATGTTGTTATTAAAGTTAAATTTAAATTAACTTTTAACATAAAATGCTTAGTAATAATAACAAAAACAGCAACAACTGTATTACAGAACTGAGTTTATGAGACACTTCCCACATAATTTTATATCTAAATGTATAACTTGGTTCTAAGACAGTGATTCTTGCTTGGGTTTTTTTAATCTGCAAGAGTATTCATTTATGGGATCAAAGACTATTGTGGATATCACTCAAAAAGTCTCAGAATATATGTCAATTTAACATAAAATTAATAACAAATATTATAAAGCAACTTGAAGATATTAAGGCTCACCTAACAGAAGCAAACAAATAATAATTGGTTGGTCTTCAGAAAGAAAGGAATTTGTTTTATTCCACGTTACTACAAACAAATGTCTTCTATTTCAGTTTGAAAGGGTTGTTTTTGTTCTTCTCTCCTCCAATAAGGTATCTAGAAATCCATATGTAAATGTTCCTGTACACAATAAGTCATACATCACCCTACAAGTCTTTCTACTCTAAGAAGTTAGGACTGGGAATAATATTACATTCATGGATTTGTGTGTAAAAGGAAGGATGAGTAGATATTCATTAGCTAATATTTCACCAATTAAGAGAGCATAGTAGAGTTGTACAGCCAAGGTTCCACAGGATCTGAGTGTAGAGTTCCAGCTCAACCCCATATTTCATTTCTAAAAGGGAGCAATGCTATCTTACAACAATGGTTTCCACATTGGCAGTCCACAAGAGGTCTAGAGACTGCTTGGCAGCTTAGAAAGAAAAAATATATAAAGCAAATTGTGTACATGCATTCTATGTATCTGAAATTTGATACTAATTATGATGCATTATGAAAATCAGTATGTTCTTAATAGCCATGTTCTCCAAGGTTGCTCACGCAGTACAACGACTGCAGCAATCAGTATAGTCAGCCATCAGCCAGTTTACTAGAGTCCAACTCATTTCAGCTGATGTGATGTATCTTCATATCTTTTGCATCTTATTTTTTGTTATATTTGCAATTTTATTGTTATAGTAATGCATATTTTTACCTTGACATTTAAAAATGAGAAGAAACTAATATCTAAATATATAACAACTCAGGATAACTTCATAAATACAAACTTAATGAGTAGTATAATAATGTTCTTACAAAGTAGAATGAACTATCTTTATAAAAGGTAAATAACTCTTTATAAATAGATAAGGAACTGTCTTTACAAAGTGACACTGTTGGACGTAATGTCAATGGCAGTTACTGCTGTCCCTGCTGGCAAAGTAAACATTGTTCTCCCCAATGCCAGTTTCATGCAGAGGCTGCGTGATGCTCCACTGCTGTCCCTGCCCCTAGGCTGCTTAGAGTGTGCTGGAAGAGATGTAACTCTGTAATACAAAACATAATGTTCGTTGGTTATATTTTTTTAAATGGGGGTGGGAGAAGGGCAAAGAGTAACTTTAGAAAGCCCAGGACTGTGGCTGGTCAGCCAGATAACTCAGGATATTCTGCCCGGAAGACCAGAGATGAGAGTCTCATCCCCTGTGCACAGGGAGTAGAAATGGAAAGAACATAAAGTGAAAGCTTTCTTATCGTGTATTCAAGTGAAAACATTTCAGAACAGTACTCCCCTATTTGAATTATAACTTTATTATAACTTTATTTTCTATCAGCTAGATGCCAAGTAAAATCTATATATAATCAGTAGTAGTAAACTTCTTGAAGCAAACAGTAGACAAAAACTAACCAAAAATTGTGCTAATTTGTCATGAAGATAAACAGCAACTGTTTGGAAAGTTCTTATGCGTCCTTTTGAAAAGTCCTTGAAATATCCAGCTAAAGGCTTCAGTGCACTCTTTTCTGTTGTAAATGCTTCCATGTCCACAGCATCTTGTACTCATAGCATTTTTTCCCCACATAGTCTTTCAAAATCTGCATTTATTTCAAAATCTGACCTTCATAACTCAACTATACATGAATTGCTGGTATTGTCTTTTAACTTGGCCAAAGAACAGTTTTCTGAGTTAGCTATTATTTCCACCATAAAATTGGGGGTAAGATTTGGCAAAAAAAAAAAGAAGAAAAAAAAATTGGAAGAAAATGGCCTTTAGTGGTTATGCTTAAAATACATGATGAATTGGGGGGAATTTATCTGTAAATTATCCATAATACGTACCTAAGTGTGATTGCAGGGGAATGCATCACAAACAATGCTCCTTGCACAAAGGTTTATGGAGCACCATAGAATGGAAGGTGGTAGTCTCAATGGGGGTTGGAGAAACACAAAATCAAGGTCCTTCCTTTTCAGGGAGCCCTTGATCTACAGGAGAAGACAGTAGGATACTTAAAGTTGTGATACAAATGTCATTAATTCTAGGATAGTCTTTTCTATTAAAAAAAAAAGCAGGTAGAGATAATAAGCTCTGTCGAGGGTGTTAATAACTTGTCTCTCAGAGGAAAGGGTGTCAGAGCTGAATTTCAGACTATGAGTTCTCCAAGCCAGCCTCTCTCAACCTGTTTTCTGCCATGTTAAGAATGATATATGGCATTCATTAATTCTGTATGACTCGCTCCTATAGGCAGAGTCAGGCTTTGGTGAAAACATAAATTTTTGTAGGGAATAGAACATTTAATACATAGGAACTTTATCTTTTATTAATTTGCTACTTATAAAAGACTATATAATTGTGTGTTTATGAAATTATGGATCTAGAATTAACCATTTTATAAGGAAAAAATAAATATGACTTTTAAACAATATAGACCTTTTTTCCTAGTGGGCCCTGATTTTTTTTTCCCTCAGAGTTTTACTGTAGGTAATTTTCTTGTTTTTTTGAGATGGAGTCTAATTCTGTCACCCAGGGTGGAGTGCAGTGGCATGATCTCGGCTCACTGCAACCTCCACCTCCTAGGTTCAAGTGATGCTCCTGCCTCACCCTCCCAAGTAGCTGGGACTATAGATGTGTGCCACCACGCCCCAGCTAATTTTTTGTATTTTTAGTAGAGATGGGGTTTCACCGTGTTAGGCAGGATGATCTTGATCTCCTGACCTTGTGATCTGCCAGCCTGGGCCTCCCAAAGTGCTGGGATTACAGGCCTGAGCCACCACGCCCGGCCTACTATAGGTAATATTAACAAGACAATCAAGTATGTTTAATTATGATTAATAATGTGTACTGGATGATGGAATTCTCCCAACAATATTTTGTGTAGTTTAATGTATTGCCTATGTCATGGGATAATTGAGAATTAGAGAAGTTAAATAATTTGTCCAGTGTCATTCGGATAATAAAATGGCTGATTCTGATCATGGCAGGTGGGACCCATGTTCTTTACTGCTATAGTATAAAACGGCAATATTAATATGAGTAGAGAATGTCTAAATGAATAGAATTTTTGACAGTGAATGCCTTAGGGGAATTGGGTGGGCCAGGCAAGAAAAGTTGAGGAGAAGGTAGACTTTTTTTTAAAGCTTTATACCCTCTTTGATATTTGAATTTTTTTAAAAGTATTTTTATAATAATAAAAGCTACAGGCCTGGGCATGGTGGCTTACACCTGTAATCCCAGCACTTTGGGAGGCCAAGGTGGGCGGATCACCTGAGGTTGGGAGTTCGAGACCAGCCTGACCAACATGGAGAAGCCCCATCTCTACTAAAAATACAAAAATAGCTGGGCGTGGTGGCGCACGTCTGTAATCCCAGTTACTTGGGAGGCTGAGGCAGAAGAATCGCTTGAACCCAGGAGGCAGAGGTTGTGGTGAACCGAGATCACACCATTGCACTCCACCCTGGGGCAACAAGAGCAAAACTTCATCTCAAAAAAAAAAAAAAAAAAAGCTACAGAAATGATAAATTCACAGTCATAGAATTTCAGAGTTTTCAACATGCTTAACATTTTATAATCAATATTACTGTAAATTTTACTCTGATTTGGTCATTGGAGCTCATGTGTCTTTACTGGCCAAAACCTTGCTAGTCTCTTTCTCCTATGCAGCGTACATATACCTGTAGATTCGTACATGTGCTTCTTCATTTATCCTTGTGTTCTTATTAATGCTGCATCTATCAATAATTTTCGGTGGAAGACATATGCAACAATAAGATCACAGCACACAAATTTTTGCTCACTACTGGCCATAGCAGAGACAAGACAGCAGGCCCCAGGTTACACCCCTTCTCAGTGTGTCAGCTGTGTCTTCACCTCTCTGACCCACTCCACAGAGCTTAGAATGTCACTCACTGAGAGAGACATTGGGACAGGACTGACCTTGAATTCTCTCTCTTTGTTTTTAAGAGAGCTATTCACAAACCTAAGTACCTTATTATTAGTAGCACTTACTGCACATCTTGCAAATGAGCCAGGCACACTGTGCCTTTGCAAATAACAGCTGCAGGCAGAGAGCTGGAGAAATGGATTCCAGGCCAAGGGAACAGAATGTGCACAGATATGGAGGTGTGTAAAGCATGTGGTGTATCCCAGGAAAGCAAGAAGCTTGTGTGGCTAAAACTTCCAGTGCAAGCAGATGTCAGGGGTAAAGACATGTTGGAAATAAGACTGGAAAGATAGATTCAGACTCAACTTCAAAGGGCCTTTGAAGCTATCATTTACTGTTTGTGTGACCTGGGGCAAATTGGATGAGTCTCAGTTTTCCTATTCTTAAAATGCAAACAGTAGTACCTGCTGAACAAGGTTGTGAGTGTTAAAGAAAATACATGTGAAGAGCCTGGCACAGAGCTGCATGCAATAAATGTCGGTAGCAGCTCATCTCACTGTTTCTTACCCTTCCTGCTCCCACCCAGATAAAGGACTGTGGACGTTATCCTGTACTAGAAAGCCTTCAGGATGCCTTCCCTCCCTCCCTCCCTCCCTCCCCCAACCTCCCCTCCCTCCTTCCTTCCTTCTTTCCTCCTTTTCTTCCTTTGTTTGAGACAGGATCTTGCTGTCACCTAGGCTGGAGTGCAGTGGCATGATCATAGCTCACTGCAGCCTCAAACTCCTAGGCTTAAGCAATCCTCTCACCTCAGCCTCCTGAGTAGCTGAGACTACAAGCATGCATCACCATGCTCAGCTAGTCTTTTTATTTTTGTAGAGACAAGAGTCTCACTATGTTGCCTGGGCTGGTCTCAAACTCCTGGGTTCAAGCAGTCCTCCTGCATTGGCCTCCCAAGGTGTTGGGATTACAGGCGTGAGCTACTGTGCTCAGCTCTTCAGGATTCATAAGGATAAAAGCCACATACCTGATCAGAGCTATTGTCTTCACTTCAGAGGCAGTGCTCTGGAGCAGTGTGCAGTATGGCTTGGAAAAAGGCAGGGGTTGGAAGGACAATATATTGAATCATACTTAATTCCAGGAAATTTTGCTTAGTAGGTTACTTCTTAGCTCCTTAAATAAAATTTTAAATCTTGATTCTTAATGCTGACTTGACTGTCATGGAGCTTTGACTCTTCTTTTTGTTGCTTCCCAGAGACTACAGATATATAATCTTGATCCCACACTTTTCCTTTTGGCCTCATGCCTCATAGCTGGTTCCTGTTGTCTACTGTTGCCACACCACCACTACGTTCTTATGCATTCTTCCTCAAAATACCACTGTAGCTTTAATCCATGTTTACTGAAGATTTGAAATAAGAACTTCTCTGGCATCACCATCCTGGGAATTCTACCATCTACTTTACATTATGGGATTTACCTGGTCCTGAAAGACTATACTGTAGGCTAAATAAGAAAGTATTTCGTCGTAACACATCATTTTAATAGTTTTTTTAAAGTGTTATGATACACAGACCTATCTTTAAATGTTGGCTCTCTTTCATTTACAAATTTTATGACTTTTGGCTTGTCCTCTCTCAGCCTCAGTTTTCTAATCTGTAAAATAGAATAGTACCTGCCCAAGGACACAAAGGTTATTATGAGGATTAAATTAAATGAATATAGTGCTTAGCTCATAGAAAGAACTTATATTTTATTTTCTGATTCTCTTAAAATGTTCCTACTCACGGCATTTTCTGTGGGTTTTTGGGTTTTTTTTTTTTTTTAGGCAGCAGACTGTCCTGGGAAGCTGTTCATCTTCCATTCTTCCTTGCCAACTGCTGAAGCACCAGGGAAGCTCAAAAACAGAGATGACAAAAAACTGGTTAATACAGACAAAGAGAAGGTACTTTGTAACTCTTTGAGTATCCATATGTCAATTATTAAGAGGAGTTAAAGAGGCAGTGTGTTCTTCATGTAAGAAAAAAGGGGAGAAACTAAATCTCATAAATTAAGTCCAGGGCATTGCATATTACAGGAATATTTTGGATTACAGACAACTTAAAATATTTTATATTCCTAGAAAAACCGATGTCTGAAATATGTAAATTAAAATAAGGCCCCAGGCTGGGCGCGGTGGCTCATGCCTGTAATCCCAGCACTTTGGGAGGCCAAGGCAGGTGGATTACGAGGTCAGGAGTTTTACCATGTTAGACAAACTCTTCCCTTGGCGGCAGAGGCCTGAGGCATGAAGCACAGGTGTGGGGTTCTCAAAATATGCCTTCACCTAAAACCTCTGACAGTGTAGCAGTGAGGGGAATGTCTGTGGGAAGGATAAGGCTATGGATATAGGGACCCAACTAGTGGTTACACGGCAACACACAAGTTGCCTCATCTAAGTCTGTAAAGTAAGGGCTGCAGTATCAGCTCCATTAGGATTGATGGAGTATCAAATAAAATTAAACACACAATTATTTCACACAGCACGGACCTGGCACAGACTGGGTGCTCAGCAGGTGGCCACTGCACTGATGATGACCACAGTGTGTTTCTTCAGCCCAGTTCACTTAACGGGAAAATGTCTATTTTTCCATTTTGAAAATTCAATAAGAATTCAATAGAAATTTAAAATTTAAACCAAAAACATTTTGTAATTTTTATTTTTTCTTTTTTTTTGCATCTTTTTTCCAGATACTTTTCCAGCCCCAAACAAATGTCTATGACTCATTGGCCAAGGACTGCGTGGCTCACGGCTGCTCTGTGACACTCTTCCTCTTTCCTAGTCAGTATGTGGACGTGGCCTCGCTGGGGCTGGTTCCTCAGCTCACTGGAGGAACCCTTTACAAATACAACAATTTCCAGGTAAATGCCAGCAATTTGTTCACCTTGGTCTTCTACTCCCATTTTAATTTTGTTGTTTAGATTATAGGTTTAAAAAGCTGTGTTCCCTGGTGGGTAGATGACACATATAAATTCAAGAGCAGATGGAAAACAAAGTATACCGTTGGTCCTTTTTATAAGGAGAGTTCTGCATCTTGGCTTCAACCAACCTCGGATCAAAAATACTCAGAACCAAATATTGCATTATACTGAATATGTACAGACTTTTTTCTTGTCATTATCCCCTATAGGATAACAATTATTTACATAACGTTCACATTGTATTGGGTATTACAAGTAACATAGGCAGGGCACAGTGGCCCAATGCCTGTAATCCCAGTGCTTTGAGAGGTTGAGGTGGGAAGATCACGTGAGGGCGGGAGTTCAAAATCAGCCTGGGCTACATAGCAAGACCCTGTCTCTACAAAAAATTTAAAAATAAGTAACCTACAGGTGATTTAAGGGACACGTAAAATGTGTGTAGGTTATATGCAAATATGCCATTTTATGTCAGGGACTTGAGCATCTGGTGGAGTTTGGTATCTGTGGGAGGTTCTGGATCAAATCCCTCACAGATAACGAGAGACAACTGTGTGTGTGTGTGTGTGTGTGTATATATATATATAGGAACCATATATATTTATGGTTCGGCAATTCCATACTTCCTAAGTGTTTGGTGATAGAATGAGCTCATTCATCCTCAGAGTCAAATATCAATGTGAGCTTTCATAATGGAGAAAAATATATTTTATGTAAAATATACTTAAGATAATGTTTTTAAAAGTGACTGCATATTTGTTTTAAATTATTGGGATTTTAGGGATCAATTCATTACACTTCTCTTTTCCAAGCCTGATTGAGAGAGATATTCAAGAGACAATCAAAATGTCAGCACTATAATGGGCCTGAGTCTGCAGGCAAGTGGGCTTGCTGATTCACCCCTGAATTTCACAAACTTATGCGCCCCGGCACAGAGTGGGCACGATCTGAGTTTCTCCTGTGGACCCCTGTGCCTTGAAAAAAACACTGTATTGAGGGACAGAAAATATGTGCCTCCTGCAGGCAAGCTGCCTTCCTATGGAGAGGACCCAGAAGAGGCTGGGCTGTGCCCACCCAGTTCCTTTTCCCAAACTTATTAATCAGATGAGTCACTCCCCATCACCTAAGGAGAAGGGGTCAGGGGTGTACCTCTAATGTGTGTGCCTGGGCAGGCGTGGAGGCATGGACTGGGAAGGTGTATTCTCCAACATAAATGACAAATGTTAGTCATCATCTGTTTTTATTAATCATCAATAAAATTATGAATAGAGACTAGTTACATATTTCTTTATAAACTAAGGGACTTGATAAGACCAAAGATTGTAAATGAAATAAAATTGAAAAAGCTTTAACAACTCTTTCTAAGACTTCTGGATAAAAGTATGTTTTTTCAGATACACTCTAGAAAATAAACTTTTAATAATCATACAGAATTCTGACCCTTACTGATTCTACCCACATTCTGGGTATTGAGGTACATGAAGCCTACCATGCTAATCAATTTTAGCTCCTTTTCCAGTTAGGGGGATAAATTTCATCAGAAGCTTTCCCCCCCCCACTTTTCCAAAAAGGACTTTATCATCTTCCATTCCTGGCATATGTGAATTGTGCTGGGGTTCTTGCTAGGTCCTTTGCTATGTACTGGTGTGATCATCTACATGGTAGTGACTTGGCTTCAAAGAGCAGCCTACCAAGTGATGTGTAGGCAGGGGGTGCTCTGTGGTGTAATCATCCAGGCTTATTACTTTTTTTTTTCTATTTAAGTTTTTGAGTTACTTGCCAACCCCATGTCATTTCTGATATAAAAGGATATTTACTTGTACCTCAGTGTATCCATAATTATTACTGATTCTTTCAATGTTACTAAAAAAGAAATGTTATAATGCAGCAGAGGAAAAGCCAGTAAGATGTAAACAGGCAGTAAAATATTTTATAATAAAAGAGTGTTAATGTTGCCTATGCTGCCATTCAGTTGTTTGTTTACTCCAGTTGTTGCAAAACTGAATCCTGCCGTAGCATTTCTTTCTTATCTTCAACAATACAAATTTTAATAGTCTTTTCCATTCAATAACATTGTAAGATAAAAATGATGGTCAAGAACTATGCAGGCACCACCCAGTTGTATGTAAGCAACTAAAGGGATTATTGTAAAGATTGTGTCTATGATCTCCCTCTTTCCTTTCCTCCTTCATTCCCTTCGTGTTTGGGACTGGGGGGAAGGGATGAGATGCGTGCGTCAGTGTCTCTCCTATGTGTCAAGTAGTAGTGAGAATTTCCTAAAGAGTTTCACTGACAGATGAGAAGCTTTAGAAGCTCAGCTAGTTTGTTTCCTCTCTTGGGTGACCTCTGAGCTCAGTATTGTGCACATGTGCATATTATATAAATGTTGCTTAGTTGTGGAATGTGGACAGTTTTCAGAAATACGGTGATCGTAGAGTAGTTAACAGGGCTAGGAGAAGGGGTTTCTACTTTCCCTGACATAGCTTCACAAAGCTCTGAATGTGGTCAGACTTAAAAAGCCCCAATTGCAAGGTCTTTCCCTAGCCTCATTAAACGGGTATTATACATTGGGTCTTAACCTTGTCTCTAACCCTAAGCCACTGAGTGGATCACTTATGCTCTCTTAATTTTCCCATTTGCAATTAATAACCGATTTTCTCATCCAAGTGTTAAAATGAAAGAAAATAATAGATGAGATTTTAGTTTCAAAAGTTAAGAAACACTGTCCAAAAATGCTATATTTTCTTTAACCAAAGAAGCATAATATATAATAAAAAAATATGCTAAATCGGGATTTTAAAAATAATTATTATAACTCAGGATTAAAATGAGAACGTTATTTTAAGTATTTTACTGCCATCTGGTGGACATTGATTAGACTTTTATTTTTTAGATGCACTTGGATAGACAACAATTTTTGAACGACCTCAGAAATGATATTGAAAAGAAAATAGGCTTTGATGCTATTATGAGGGTTCGTACCAGCACAGGTAATTATCATTTATACAATTCTTCGGGTCTCTCTTGAATAATTGTTTCTTTTTCAAATTAATAACAGGCCAACAAAGAAAATAACAGTAGAATAAAGACAAGCAAAATTTCCCTTTTTCCCTTATCTTTAGGTTTCAGAGCCACTGATTTCTTTGGTGGAATCTTGATGAACAACACCACCGATGTAGAAATGGCTGCCATCGATTGTGACAAGGCAGTGACCGTGGAGTTCAAGCACGATGACAAACTCAGTGAAGACAGTGGAGCCTTAATCCAGGTGATTGAAAGTGTATTCCCACCTTTCGTTATTTTAGTTTGTTGCCGACAATGATCAGTGGGGAGACTGAAATACCATCAAATGTGTTAGTCTCTTCATAAAAAAATTCAACTCTTTCTCCAAAGTCAAAAGTCAGTAGATTAGAACACTCAGTTGGGAGGTTTCTCCATACTCATTCATATTTGCTACTTATATGAAGTGACAATTATGTGTCATTGCATGCAAGTCCAGCAAATTTGTGGTAAGTATCACAGGCATCAGCAAACTGACTTCCAACGGTATTCACTTCTGTTAGGCTTCAGCACCTATTCACATCTACCATATGAATATTAATTTGCTAGGGCTGCTATAACAAACACTACAGAATAAGCAGCTTAAACAACAGAAATTTATTTTCTCACAGTTCTGGAGGCTGGAATTCCAAGATCAAGGTTTCTGAGGGCCTAGAGGGAAGGATCTGTTCCAGGCCCCTGTCCTTGGTTTGTAGATGGTTTTCTTCTCCCTGTGTCTTCACATCATCTTCCCTCTGTTACATGCCTATATCCAAAGTTTTTCCTCTTATAAGGACACCAGTCATAGTGAATTAGGGTGCACTCTAATGAACTCATTTTAATTAATTTACCTCTTTAAATACCTCATCTCCAAATACTTAGGTACTAGGGGGTTAGGACATTTGAGGAGCCACAGTTCAGCCCGTAATACGATGTTAAGCAAGTGGAATAGGATTTGGCTTTCTTTAAAGTGAAACTAACTAGAAGCCATAGAGACTGAATTAAAACAAGAAAAACTATGACCACTAGATATACATGGTCATAGTTTCCAAACATTGGCATCATCTTTAAAGGATGAAGAGAGGCTGGCATTAGGTTGAAGAAGAACTTTTAACTAAAGTTTATTTTTTAATCACATATATTTGGTGAAATGCTTCTATCTATGCATTCTTCAAATGTATATCATCAGCATAAGACCTAAGTCCATTGTGAAAGCTAGTTGTATGTTTTTAAGAAAGTGAGCCTTGAGTAGGGCTCTGAGCACATGAAGGTATTGTTTCTGCCCCTGGATCCCTGGTAATAAAACATGAGCTATGAAAAATGCAGACTAGTTGTAGAAATGTGAAATAGATATTTACATGTGAATCACTCAACAATTTAAACCAGTGAAGTGCTACATTGAAACCCAGCAAATGAATGGGTCATTATTCTCCCATATTTCCTGTTGTTCATTCTTTAACAATAATAGAAAAAAAACTGTGGAAAAATAGTTAGAGGTCTTTTATCTATCTGTACACAGTGTTTTGTAAATGCAAGTAAGATCAAGTTAGCTTGGGTGGATATGTTAATCAGAAAAACATGTGACCTCAATGTTGCTTCTACAGTGTGCTGTGCTTTACACGACAATCAGTGGTCAAAGAAGACTTCGGATTCACAATCTTGGCTTAAACTGCAGCTCTCAGCTAGCTGATCTTTATAAGAGCTGTGAGACAGATGCTCTTATCAACTTCTTTGCCAAGTCAGGTAACACTTTGCCAATCCTGAGGTTCAGTAAACCTTGCTTAGTAATTCAGTCAAGATTTGTCAGTAGCTAAAAAGCACTGTAGTTTTGCAACCTTATGGTGGGTAAATTCAGAACTAATAAAAGCAAAGGCTGAGAGAGAATAGTCAGCATTCCTAACTCTAAATTAATAAGTGAGGTAACTCAGTTCAGGGTCTGGCTATACAGACTTACTTAAAGTTAACTTCTGGGGTGGCAGTCTGAGTTGAAATTTAGGAATATGATGCTTAGACCCTTATTATGGTACATGATCATGCCCTCTGACACATTGGGTTAATGGACAGAGACGATCTCTAATGTTAGACTAAACTTGCTTATCCATACCATGATAACTATGAAATAGAATGGGCCCAAGGTGGAATTTTCTTTGGCTTTCCTTGAGAAATTCTACACTAAAGTTTGGAAAAGGTAGCAATCCAGCCCGTAAGAATTCAGGACATCAAAAAATGACAAATTGGCCTGTCTTTTTTTCTGTGTGTACAATTCTAATATTCTGAAGGTAAATCTGGCCAATATAACCTTTTGCTGTAGGTAGGCCAATGTTCTCCATTAGTTAGATCATCATATTTAGTCAAGAGGAGACCATTAGCAAATGACTTGAACAGATTTAAATGCTATTATTCTTGCTGGGTGGTCTGAAGATAATAGCAACTTGTTCTTTTTTGTTTGATTATTTGAAGAGATCAGTGTCTGAGCTAAAACTCATGTCCTTTTCATTGTTTTGTGATGTAGCTTTTAAAGCAGTTCTCCACCAGCCTTTGAAGGTCATCCGGGAAATTCTAGTTAATCAGACTGCCCATATGTTGGCATGTTACCGGAAGAATTGTGCAAGTCCTTCTGCAGCAAGCCAGGTGAGCTACCTATTGCACATAGATGTTAAAGTGTTACAAACGACTACTCATTTCTTCAGCACATAGCTATAGAAGGCTTATGATGTTGCAGGCACTTAGATGCTGTTACAGTAAACAGTGTAGCTGAGAAGATTAAGAATGCAATTTGGGGGGGCTGTGGTTTTTTTTTTTATAGCCAACATTTAAAAATGTGAACAAAAAAAATGGATGTGCATATTCAGTTGACAGTCACTACGGTATGTATAAACAAAAGAATGTTATATGTAAGAAGTGTCCTAATATAAACAGGATTCTGTTTTGTATCCAGAGATGGGTATTTTGTTATGAAATGTGTATGCTTAAATACATTTTAGGCATATTAACAAAGTTGACATGAGCTGATGGCAGTAATAACATTTTATAAACAAATATAATTTATAAATATAAATACAGGAATTCTTTACATTTAAAAGTTATTAATAGGTGTGAAGAGTTTTCAAAGAATTGACTCTCTCCATCATCTAGTAATTTGAAATTTTAGAAGATTCTTTGAATAAACCTCATTTAGTCTCTCTCCTATAAAAGGAAAAGCAGAACCTCAAGTCCACATTTATTTTGCATTTGCTCTCTTGTTCACATTCTTCTCTATGTCAATAAAAGTTAGATGGCATTTTTTATAGCTGTGTATCAAATATGTGAATATAGAATTCCAACTAAAATAGCAATAGATGGGAAAACTTTCTAGTTCATTCATTGTCAAAAGTGAGTGCTGAGAGGACATCTGAAGCCCCACCTAAAAGTAAATCCTCAGCAGGAAAGATAATGCAGATAAATTTTGGGTCCAAATTCTTAATCTGGGCAAAGAAAGAAAACAAACACACTTACTAGATGGATTTTTCATAAAAGTTCCTTTCCATGCTGTCCAAAGTGATTAAATTAGTCATCCATTCTTTTATCTCTTCTGTTGATAATCATATAAGCAACTCCTGAATCTATATGAGTATTCAGTCTTCTTTATTATTCAGAAGATTTGCCATTTTAGTCAACTCAAATATCAGTACTATTTCATAGCATGCTAGTTCAGGTTACACAAAGCCCACCAGGTACACCTGGAATCTAGCCAGAATGCAGTCCAATCATGAGCACTTTAAACATTTACCTCATTTTACTATTTGTCTTAGAGCTATGGAAACATTATTCTGTTTCTGGAGTATCTCACACTTCAGGAGCATTAGTTGAAGCAGTACAGATACAGTTAGTGTCCTCTCTGGACATTCATTTGTTAACTTTGAAACAACTGGATTCAAAGACCTTAAGTTAAAAACAAACTTATTGCCTATTTATGGAAGAAAAACCTGTTATTTTATTCTGGTTTAAAAGTTAAAAGCATTGCCTCTACCACTGGATAACCTGTTTGCACAATTAAATGATTTCCGGAGTTAAAACATTATGATTATAAATTTTCTCTGAATAAGTTGATAGGAGATTATTCCTGTTCTTATAATGAGGTTTTTCCATTAGCACTTTTCAAGTGTGCCTTTCAACCAATGATATGTTTTTAAAAAATAATGTAACTTAAGTACCTTATGATTAACCATCATGGAGTCTAGAAAATGTGGAGATTCTAAAACAGTATTGTCTGAAAACATAGAATAGTTGGACTTAATGTTCTCTTCAGAAAATCTAACTGTAAACTTGGTACTTTCCTACAGTTCACTTGTGAAAAATAATATCTATGAAGATGGAGAGATTCCTAAAGGAATTCCACTATTTTACCATAGAGCCCAAAGTTTCCTTGACCCAAGCAAGACCATCAAGGAGCTATCTGGATTGTATGATACTGGACCTCAGTAGAACTACTTTTACTGAATTGCTGGAGCCAAAACTAGGCTGCAGCAAGAGAAGGCAATTAGGGTACAAAATCTAAGGAAGCTGTCATTCTGAGGATCATATGATAGATGCTGGGTTAAGACATATGGCTGGGCATGGTGGCTCATGCCTGTAATCCCAGCCCTTTGAGAGGCCAAGGCAGGTGGATCACTTGAGGTCAGGAGTTCAAGACCAGCCTGGGCAACATGGTGAAACCCCACATCTACTAAAAATACAAAAACAGCTGGGCGTGGTGGCATGGACCTCTAATCCCAGTTACTTAGGAGGCTGAGGCAGGAGAATAGCTTGAACCCAGGAGGTGGACGTTGCAGTGAGCCGAGATCATGCCACTCGACTCCAGCGTGGGCAAAAAAAAAAAAAAAAAAAAAAAGACATATAACTAGAAACAAGATAAATTAGGCTGGGTGCAGTGGCTCACACTTGTAATCCTAGCACTTTGGGAGGCCAAGACAGGAGGATTGCTTGAGGCCAGCAGTTGAAGGCCAGCCTGGGCAACATATCGAAACCTCCACCTCTACTAAAAATAAAAACTTAGCCAGGTGTAGTGGTACATGCCTATAGTCCCAGCCACTCAGGAGGCTGAGGCAAGAGGATCCCTGGAACCCAGGAGCTTGAGGATGCAGCGAGCTATGATTGTGCCACCATACTCTAGCCTGGATGACAAAGTGAGACCCTGTATCTTTAAAAAAAAAAAAAAAAAAGCAAACTTTAAGGCTTATAAGGCTTACATAAGCAATGTAGATTCTTTTAATTAAATCTAATATCTCACTGTTCTGAGCTTAAATATATCAATATCATATGGGAGTGCATTCATTTCAAAAGGCAAGTCAAATGACCTTAACTGCAAAATAAGCTTTCTTTTTAAAAAAGAAAAACAAAAAAAACCTCATTACCACTTCTGTCACTTTAAAACCTAAAGAAGGAAAGAATTTTCCAAATTCAAGCAAGCTCGACTTATATGAATTACTGCTCCCACCTCACTCTCATTCTTTACTCCCAAAGAATAATTTAGTTATTTATGGAGGGGGTCAGTCGGGTGGGGAGATTTTACAGTGGTAATCCATGGCCACATTTTCTTCCTCACCTCAAAAACATTGAATAAGATTGTCTTCTTGTTTTCTTTCATTCTTTAACTCCATTTTTTTGGTTTTGTTTTCATGATTAGATTTTCCTTCTCATTTACCACCTGTTTTTCTTCCCTCTGCCTTCTATAATCCAATCTCCTCTGATTAGACTTTTTAGTCCCAATAGTGTCATTGTGGGCCAACCTCACCCCTTTGTGGTATTTAGGATCACAGATTTCTGAACTCTTAATATGACCTCATTAATTAGAAGCAACCAGTGAAATTTCAATCTGATATTTTCAAACCAAATGGACATGCTTTATACAGGAATCTAAGAACATTCTTGATCCTTGATCTTGATAACATGTAAAATGGCTAACTAGTAACTAGACCAGAAATAGCATCGGGGCGATCTATCTGGTTCCTGCATCTTTTTATCATAGTTTTCCTTGGCTGAGAAAGTAATCCAGTACCAAATGTTGTTAAATGAAGATATATTATGCTAGAGAAAAAATTAGAAGAGAGTGTTCTACTCTTATGAATAAACATATATTTAACTGTCCTTGGTTCTTTGAAAGGAGATTAGAAGTTGACGGGGGAAACAAACTGCAAAGTAGAATCATTCTGAAATACGTTTGCCTGAGACGGTTAGAAAGTTCTGTTCCCCACATTCCTTACTTAGTACATCATGAGAAGAGACTTACGATATGAATTTAAGATGCAGAATAAATTCTAACAGACCCTCAGGGACATTTTCTTTTCAGTGTGGATTCTGATAACTCTATATCCATTTTCATCATCAAGACAGAAAACTAAGCCAGGCATGGTGGCTCACGCCTGTGATCCCAGCAGTTTGGGAGGCTGAGGTGGGCGGATTGCTTGAGGTCAGGAGTTTGAGACCAGCCTGGCCAACATGGCGAAACCCCATCTCTACTAAAAAAACAAAAGTTAGCCGGGTGTGGTGGTACATGCCTGTAATCCCAGGTACTCAGGAGGCTGAGGCAGGAGAATCACTTGAACCCAGGAGGCAAGGTTGCAGTGACCCGAGATTGCGCCGCTGCACTCCAGCCTGGGCAACAGAGTGAGACTCCATCTCAAAAAATAAAAATAAAAAAGAGAGAAAGCTAAAAAGAAACCATTAATTTATAGATCAGATATTTCATTTATCTGTTTGCAAGTTATTATCTCGTATGTATAATTTTTCTTTTGGATATGTCCTTGTTCACTGACTTGTGCTATTAAGTGGAAGGAAGTGACATTCAGATCAGTCAAACTTGATTATTAGCTATTCTAACAATATTGATTTAGGAGAAAGTTAAACAATATAGGACACTATAATTTCTTAAATCATCAGGTTGTGTTCCTAGAATTGCTGCATTGTGTTAGGTTGTAGTATCTCACAAGGGCATGTACTTTGGGGCAGTTAGAATGAGGTCATGTGAGCCAAAGTGAGGGTGGAGAGAAGGTACAGGTAGATTATGAAGGTAGAATTAAAAGGATTTGTTTATTAATTGAGGGTAAAGAAATAAATGAATTAGGGTTCATCTGGAAGTTCTACACTGAATAGGAAACATGGGAGGAAGAACGTGTTTGTGGAATTGTAGGAGTTTGATTTTGCATGTTATCATTCATTAATGACACATCTAAATGCATGAAGCATTTCCTTTTTTAATCTATAGTACTGCAATCTCTTTATTATGTTTTATGTATTTATATGTCTATCCCCAGCGAACTTCAAGCATCTTACAACATGGACTATGCCTTATTCCTTTTTATATCCTTGACACTTTGCACAGAACCTATGACACAATGGCATTTAATATTTTTTTGATGAGTTTAAGATGCATGAAAAGCATAACGGAAGAGATATCCTGTTGGCAGTTAGAAATGCTATTCTTGAAGTGGAAATATAGGTTATGAAATCATTTTTAAAAAATTTTATTAAACTATGTATATATCTAAACATATATATATGGTATATCCTATGTGCTAGGCACTATTGTGCTTTACAAATCATTTAATTATCATAACCCAATTATGAAGTAGATATACTATTATTCCATATTCAGCTAAAAAAAAAAAACACTGAGAAAAAGACAGGGTAAGTAATTTGCCCAGGGTCACACACCTGCTAAAAGACAGAGCTGGGATTGCATCCTAAGCAGTGAGTGGGTAGTGCTGATAACAGCTACACCAGACTGCTGTAGCACTAGATAAAATAAAAACAACTGCTGCTCTTTGAATGCCTACTCTGTGCCAGTTACTGTGTGCTCTAGGTGTTTTACATGGGTTACCAGTTAATCCTTACATCCTTACAAGTTCAGAAGCAAATAATGTTTCAGTCTTACAGATGAAGCTCAGGGAATTGTTCTCAGTAAAGATCAAGCGTATGAAACAAAAAATTGTCTTTTTCAGCTTATTCTACCAGATTCCATGAAAGTATTGCCAGTGTACATGAATTGCTTGTTGAAAAACTGTGTACTACTCAGCAGACCAGAGATCTCAACTGATGAACGAGCATACCAGAGACAGCTGGTCATGACCATGGGTGTGGCTGACTCTCAGCTTTTCTTCTACCCACAACTTCTGCCCATAGTAAGCATGCTGGGGTGGTGCATTTCCCAGAGGAGGCTGGAAGGGAATCATATTTTGTGCTTTCCCGTATGTTATATCTGAAATATGTTGTTCTTAAGAGGAAAGTTAAAGTCACAAATGCCTTCAAAATATATGGTGTGGGATTTCGAGCAGGGGCTCTTTCTGCAAGTTGCTTATGTGCATCAGTATGTGTTCACTATGGTGAGGGGAGGGAATCTGAGGAGTTCTGCGTCTCTTTCAGTCTGTTTTCAGCACAGAAGTTAGGGCATCCTGTTAAAATAATTGTCAGCTCTGGCCAGGTGCCGTGGCTCACGTCTGTAATCCCAGCACTTTGGGAGGCCAAGGCGGGCAGATTGCCTGAGGTCAGGAGTTTGAGACCAGTCTGGCCAACATGGTGAAACCCCATCTCTACTAAAAAATACAAAAAAATTAGCCGGGCGTGGTGGTATGTGCCTGTAATCCCAGCTACTCGTGGGGGGCTGAGGCAGGGGAATTGCTTGAACCAGGGAGGTGGAGGTTGCAGTGAGCCGAGATAGTGCCTCCAGCCTGGGTGACAGAGCAAGACTCCGTCTCAAAAAATAAAATAAAATAAAATTGTCAGCTCGTATTACTTCTTTGCTCAAAACACTCCAGGATTTCCCATCTCAGTTCCTACCACCCTGGCCCAGTGCTGTGTGCCCCGCCCTCCCCTCCCTTCTAGAAATCTTCTGTTACTCTCCCTTTCCCCATCCCACTTCAGCCACACTGGGCTTCATGCTGATCCTCAAACACTCCATTTGGGCCCTTGCTTTAGGACCAGTGCACTAGCTTTTCCTTCCATCTGAAATGGTCTTCTCCAGTTGTCCCGATGGCACCTTCTCTTACCTCCTCAGGTTACCTTCTTAAAAGTTTGTGGGCTCCCTGGACTACCCTAGTTAAAATTTGTCCGCACCTTTATCAGCGACACACCCCATCCCACTTTTGTGCATCTTTTCTTCATAACTCTTCACACCATCTATATTCTGTATATTTTACTTATTTTATGTGTTGTCTCTTCCTCCCTGCACAAAACCATTTGCTGTGCAAGGTAGGGATTATTTTCTAATGACTGGAATAAAGTCTGGCACATAATAGGTACTCACTATGCATTGAGGGAGGGGAGGGAGGAAAAAGGAAAGGAAAAGAGGAAGGAGGGAAGGGAAGGGGAAGAAAGGAGTTTCTAACTCTTTTGTCTGTGCCTGCCCAGCACACGTTAGATGTCAAGAGTACAATGTTACCTGCTGCCGTTCGTTGCTCTGAGTCCCGTCTTTCAGAAGAAGGAATATTCTTACTGGCTAATGGTCTACACATGTTCCTGTGGTTGGGAGTAAGCAGCCCACCAGAACTGATCCAAGGAATATTTAATGTGCCATCTTTTGCACATATCAACACAGATATGGTAAGTATTATTTTCATTGCTTTTGTGGTAATATGAAAAATATAAATTCGTAAATGTTTTTATTTATGTGCAGTCAAATATTACAGAAAGAAAAATAATAAGGCATATATTTCTGTATATGAAAGAAATAATTTCATGTTTTGATCAATATCAATTAGCTGGTATAAAGTTATTTGTATAGAGTACTTTCAAACAACTAAAATATGTGACTTTAATAGAAAATGCTAACACTTCCAGATCATTAACTATGTGCCAGTCTCTGTACTCTAAATACTTAAATATACCATTTCAGTTAATTGTCATAACAAATCAGTGAGATGGATATGGTCTCAACATTTTACAGAGGAATCAGTTGAGGCTTGGAGACAAGTTCCTTCAGGTAGTAAAGTGGCAGAGATGGGAACTGAATTCAGTTCTTATGCTCTGGACTCATCCCTGGTGCTGAACTGCATACTCAGAAGAATGTAGAAATCTTTCATAAGTGTTTGGCTACAGACTAAATCAGATTACTGAGTTAACAAATAATAATTCCATAAAAAGAGACTATACACCCCTCTGTTGCAATAACAACAAAAGAAATTGTGAGTTTGATGTTAAATTAATACAAATGACTATTTTAAAGTATCTTAGGAAAACCCAGCTTATAATTTGTACAAGAGTCAACATTTATTGCAAACGTTATTTGTAGACCATTGTTGTGTGAGCATCACTGCCGATGGCTATTGTTTGACTCTGATAGTGGATTCCAGTAGAGCTCAGCAGATAGTTAGTTTCCTGAAGGCTCACTTACATTGTGGCAAGATGGCTTAAGTCTAGTTGTTGAACCCAATTGTATGAAGTACAGTTTATCAATATATATAGCATCTTGCAGAAAGAGGCAAGATTAAAATTCAAGGCCATGACAGGTGATCAGTTTAGAGAGCTGCATATTCATGAGGAATGTCAAAAGTGTATTTTTAAGAGAATTCAGGGGCATCAATATTCCAGTTAGAGATTGGTTTTAAGATGAAGATTTAGAAATTGATATCTGCATATGTTTGAAATTAAGAAATGATTATAAATGCAATTTAAAAAAATAAAATTCAGTAGGCAAAGAACTATGAGTCTGAAGAATGTTTATATAAAAGTTAAGGAAGCTTCCTCTTGTAATATATTGACATAGTAAATGCTGAATGCATAGTTGCTGAACTGAACATCCACAGGAAATAGCCAGTGTCTCTACCACAAGGCAGCAGATTGGTAGGTCTGTGCTTATATCAGCATACTGGTATTTCCTTGACTTTCATCAACAAAATGAAACAAAGTTAAAAACCAAATGTAAGCTACTTTCTTTTTAGAGGCAGCTGGCACTTTAAAACACATACATGAAGAATACTTACGTTGTTTGTTGAATAAATAGATCTACCATAATATGCCACATAATGCATATAGGGGATGGGAGTGTGAATGTAAATAATGAATTTTTTGCTTTCCTTACTCCTGTGAAAAACATTGACCATAAACTTTTCCTGACACTTGAGGTTTATGGTGAAACATTCTAACTCACATGTTCTCTGGCCAACTCACAGTGATGCATTGGCTGTTGGCATCTTCTTGCTGAGAAGCAAACATTAGCATTTTACTCTGTCTTAACGGAAGAAATGTAAGTCAAAATCCTTCATATCACCTGGATGCCACGTGCAGCTGGATTGGCCTGTAGACCACTAACCAGATTTCTGGGCTATCTAAGACGCTGCATTCCCTTTGAGAAATCAACATTTGGTAGTTTGTTTTAATGCCGGAACAGTAGTACTTGGATGGAATTTTCCATCCACTGAAGGAACAAAGTACATTCTTTTCTCTCGCAACATAGCCTTGAATCTTGAAAAGGGATCAAACTTTCACAGGAAGTTGTTTGCATAAAACATATACTATTGTCTCTTGGTATCCATGGGGAATTGGTTCCAGAATACTCTATAAATTAACAGATGCTGAAGTCCCTCATATAAAATGGCATGGTATTTGCATATAACTTGTACATATACCCCCATATATTTTAAATCATCTCTAGATTACTTATAACACCAGCTGGGCACGGTGGCTCACACCTATAATCCCAGCACTTTGGGAGGCTGAAGCGGGAGGATTGCTTGAGTGCAGGCGTTCAAGACCAGCCTGGGCAACATAGTGAGACCCTCTCTCTATCAAAAAAAAAAAAAGATTACTTATAACACCTAATACAATATAAAATGCTATGTAAATAGTTGTTAAACTATATTGTTTACAGAATAATGACAAAAAAAACCCAAAATCCATGCCTTTTCAGTACAGATGCATTTTTTACAAATAATATTTTTGTCTGTGGTTGGCTGAATCCATGGATGCAGAACCCATGGATACAGAGGGCTGACTACGTCTGTGCTGTATCATTTCAGTGATGTACATGTGTCAAATTCCAGAGGAAGAGTTTTTTCCAAAAGACAGAAATAATTGTCTTCTGTCAATTATGGGAATGGGTGCCAATAATTTTTAGTGCATTTTCCCCACAGTTTTGGTTTTCAGGTAATGAACTACACCAATGTTCAAGTACATGGTTTTATGTTTTTAACATTATGATAATCTCATATTGCTACTTCTATCTAAATGTTATAAACTGTACTAAAACTTTGATTTTCTTAAATCTAAGACATTGCTGCCTGAAGTGGGAAACCCATACTCTCAACAACTCAGAATGATAATGGGTATTATCCAACAAAAGAGGCCATATTCAATGAAGGTAAGAAAGCAATTTTATTTTTCCCTTTATTCAAATGTTAAAAATTTCATTAAAGACTTAACATGCACACCCTATATTTTTATGACGTGATCTTTGATTTTAAAAACTCACACCATCACAAATCTAAAATAAAAGTTAAAAAAACCTCACATTAACCTCTAAGTATATCTACCTACTTACCAGTCACAAACATAAATGGCTATTACCATGGGTTAACTATGGGGTATCTTAAGTCAGTATTAACTTCATGATTTAATAGCAATTGGTACCATTAACAGACTTTGAAGTGACTTTTCTTCTGGTGCCTAAAATTACTTAATTATAAAAGTATCATTTAGAACATTTGTAAAATTTGATTTATTACAATGTTTAATTTATAATCTCTGAAAAGTTTTGTTATTCTTGTCCTTCCAAGCCCTTCTAGCCTTTTCTGAGTTTGAGTAAAAAATTTTAATATGTCTAGAACCCAAGAAAATTATATGTTGTTGCCACGTTCCAGATACTTACTTGTTTTCCTTCCCAAGCTCAATATTAGAGTCTCCTGGGATCTAGAATGTATAGATGATGATGATGTGCTGTGTAACACTGCTTACTGAAGAGCTATAAGACACTCAGCTGGAGGCACGTGTCTACAAGTGCCAGGGTATTTATGGGGCCAGTTGTCTCCTGAAATGTAAATGTGATGTCAATCTGAACCAACATTCGTAACTGTGAAAGTAACTCATGCATGCAAACATCAACTTTAGGTAGAGCTTAGGTAAATTGAACTAATGACATCTGGATGAATACACAACTTTTCTAGAACAGTTTTCACACCACACAGCACCTATGGTTCAGTTTAAGGGCAGGACCTAGAGATGACAGACAAGGCTCAAACTAAACACATTCTCTTAAGATTTGGTTACACGTTTTTCTAGGGCATTCTCTCTGAATGCCCTAGAAACATGTAACCAAATCTTGAGTCTCAGGAAATGCAAACTGAAAGCCACTGGTATTTAGAATGCACAGCAATAATGATTCACCTTCATCCCAGCTGCAGCAACTGCATCCCTCCAACTGGGCATTTGCAGAAAAGAGGCAAGACTAAGCATGGAGATCATCCTTGTGCTCAGTAGTTCCTCCTTCAGGGAAAAACATTAAACTTTCCTCTGCTTTCTCCCACCTGTTCCAACCACTTATCAAAGTTATGTCAGCTTTGGTTATAAAACCATCTGGGGGTGAGCTTCAAATATTATATGTGAATAAAATATTAAGCACCTGTGTGATAAAACAATTTTAGCTTGAATACTTAAAGAATCAGATTTTCTTATGTACTATCTGCAAATGTATCCATCTGTTCATAGAGTGCTATCTCTATAAAGAATTAGAAATATCTAAAATCTACAGATGTCAGAGTTGAAAGGAATCTGGGAGATACCTGGCTTCCTGTAGCTGCACATCACAGACATGAAAGTGAGGCTCAAAGGAGCTCACTAGCTTGGTCCGGGTCTCACAACTGGATCATAGCAGATACAGGGCTTGTACTAGCTGCTTAGTCCCAGTGCACTTAGCATTCCACCCTTTCTCTGACACTTGAAAACTGACTAAACAAAGGAAATGAAAACATACTTTTAAAGGGTTAAGATTAGGTAGGAGAAAAGAGTTGGTATGGAAGGATCAAGAGTAACAAAATCAAATCTAGAAGGAACTGCTACCTTCCAGGTTATGCTAATTACTTTTTCAAAAACAGTCCTCTTAGACCTTATTGTCAGATTATTCTCTGTGGGGAACAACAACAAAAAAAGATTTCTACCACAGTATATCTACAGATGACCGAAACCAAGTGCCTTCCTGAGAAATTCTAGTCCTGCCCTGCACAGTTCTCTGTGCTCCAAATGTTTTTTATTCTCTCTCCTTCCACTTGTATTTTCTAGATTATTCCTTTCCCATTGGCCCTTTTCCAGTTTACAAGCTGTTCAAATCTACCTTCATAGAAGCT
Source organism: Homo sapiens (assembly GCF_000001405.40). Classification (NCBI taxonomy): domain Eukaryota; kingdom Metazoa; phylum Chordata; class Mammalia; order Primates; family Hominidae; genus Homo; species Homo sapiens. The sequence goes on along the minus strand of NC_000004.12, from coordinate 118,726,582 downwards.
GCCACTTCTCCAAGATTCTGCTTCCCTTTCCTCATTCATTCTACAAATATTTATTGAACACCGGCAATATACCAAACATTCTACAACCAAGCTCCTTGAAAAAGTCTATATTAACTGCTCTTTCCTTCTTCTCATCTCTCCACTTCTCTGTAAACTGCCAAATTGCTAAAGACAATTGATTCTCAATCCTTTTATGCATTTACAAGGTTGACTACTTCCTCAAATTCTCTCCTGTCAGCTTTCAAAACATCCCCTGCTCCTGATTCTTCTTTCTCAGTGACTCTTTTTCATAGGCTTCTCTTCATTCATCTGCCACTTAAGAGTTGGTATTCCCCGAGGGTTGTATCATGGCTCTCTTCTCGCTCAACATGTTCTACCTGGGCCTTCCTAATCACTCCCATGCTTTAGCGATTCCCTGTGAGTCAGCCAATGAAAGATGAGATTGGCTTTTGAAGCACATTAATTCTTTAAGACCTCTGGTAAGGTGACCCAGAGAATGTCACATTCAGAGTTAGCCAGTCTTCCCTTGGAGAAGGCACACAAGAAGCAAGGAGGTGACAAGCAGTGATTATTTTAATGTTCTCTTCCTACTCTATAGGGCCATCCCCCTCCCTTTAGAAATGTAAAGCGGGGAAATAAAGATGGATCTACCAATCCATACCAGTATGCTTTCCTTTTATTGGTGTGGGTGTGCCCCTTGAAGAGACGACCATCACTGTGTCAAGACAGGCCAATACCACTTCCATGACTCCACTCCCCTGAGACCTTCCACTATACTTTCTGTGTCATCCTGACACCTGTAGATAATCAAATGGTAGGATAGGATATTAATCACTGTAGCTTAAAGCTAAGTTTCTCCCAAGGCTGACATTCATTCCCTGTTCTACTTACCACCTCAGCTCATAGCGAGACACTTTTGTCAGAGGAGGTTGTACAATGAGCACCACACAAAAACAAAAAAAAAAACCCAAGTGAATGGCAGCAATAGAAAATACCTCAGATGAGCAATCTGACCTTCTTTCCATTAATTTCCATAAAGAAAGTAAATTCTAAAGAAATTGGAACTTCAAGTCTTTCCTCCTTCAATGTCTTATCCTGCCCAGCCTCAGTCTGAATTGTGTCAGAGGCTAGACCCACACTGCCCCTACCAATCATGGACAATAGTAAAGTTGTAGTGGCATGTGGGAGAGGGTGGATAAAACATAAAATGAAAAGAATCCTGACTTCAGGTTCATCAGGAGGCAAATCTTAAACTTCTTTGGAGAAATCTCATTAAGGGTTAGTTTTGCTTCCCCATGTAGGAGTGGAATCTGCCTATGCACACAGCTATTCCAGTGCCAACTCCCAGTACCTAGAGCTGACACCCAAAAGCCAAGGCATCACACATATCTGTATCCACATGGAATTAGCTGAGTTGTGGCAACAGCAGTTGTTCTTATATATTATTATTTTTACTAGGTCGGGGCAACTTAAAACCTAACAGACTTGGATCCAGGCCGAAACGTTATAAAGGAAAAAAGCAAGTGGTGTTGACAGAGTTACTCTCTGCTTGATAACTAAAAAGCATAGAATGCAAAAGTAGGGAGGGCCCTGCCCTCCTAGCCAAAATTGCACATACCTTCCCTGCTGCAGCTGGTGAAGCAGCTAACTGCATGTGTTTCCCTATTGCAGGCCTTTCTGGTGGGTTTACCTCCTGAGAGGAAGAAGTGAGAAATACCCTCGCTCCTCTTAATTACACAGGAGGCAGGTGGAGAGGCATTGTTGTGCATGTGTGGCTCAGTTAACCCCACTTGTGGCGCAATAAATATGAAATTATGACAATTCAGATCATCTACCTTGACTTCCTCAAGTAGGAATACAGGTGTAGAAAGAAGGGTTCAAAGTGTTCATGACAAAACTGCCTCTCTTCTGGGCTTCTTCCCTGTGGGTTTCTTCTTAGAGCAGCACTCTCCAGTAATGCAAATGAATATGCAATTCTGTGTTTTCTGATGACTGCATTTAAAAAGAAAAAATTCATTTAAATAATTAATTTAACCCAGTATATCTAAAATATAATTTCTATATGTAATCTGTATCAATTATTGAGATATTTTTATATTTTATTTTTCATACTAAGTCTAGAAATCTATTTTTTTCTAGAATCTTATATAGAAAATATAGAAATCTTATATTTACAGCACATCTCAATTTGGATGAGCCACATTTTAAATGCTCAATAGTATGTGTGTCTGGCTGTTGTACTGGACAGCACAGGTCTAGAGAATCATGATGAGCAAAGGACAGGAGTTCTCCCTGTTTTCCCTGTGTGTTAACCTCTCTAGCATCTCTCCAATCTACCCCCTTTCCACCTCCACTGCTCTAATTCAGAACCTGATCATCTCCCACCCAGACACTTCAAACCACTTCCTATCTAGTGTCCCTCATCTCACGAATGTATTGTACATACTGCTGCCACTTAACTCTCTCATTTCATTCTTCTGCACCTTCACTGGATCACATTTCCTACAGAAACCCAAACTCATTATGATGATAATTTGTCCCTTTTAGAAGAAGCCTGTGATAATTTACATGCCAGCCATAATTGTATCTCTGGTACATGGCACATGTATTCCAGTATGGAACACTTTCTAGCCCTACCCCTATCCTTTAAGGCTCAGGGGACAGTTACTATCACTGTGAAGCCTTTCCCGTAACACTCTGCTTAGGTTTCATTTTTGCCACTTAAAATTGTATGTCTTAGGTTTTGGGGTTTCGGGGTCCATGCCTCTTTCCACTCTAGATATCAGGCACTTTCCCATCATCCTCCATAGCCTCACACATAATGGGCATTCAATAATGTTTGCCAAAATTGAAATAGACAAAATTGACCCATTTTCAAATAATGTTTATAACCAGGGGCTGTTACTGTTTTGTTTTTTTTTTCCTAGCTCACAATTGTAAAGCAGCGAGAACAACCAGAAATGGTTTTCCGACAGTTCCTGGTAGAAGACAAAGGACTTTACGGAGGCTCTTCTTATGTGGATTTCCTTTGTTGTGTTCACAAGGAGATCTGTCAGCTGCTTAATTAATTGAAACTTCTCTGTCATTGATGTTGCATTTCCAAGGAGATAATCTCCTTCTTGGTGCCTAATTTTCTAGATGATAATAGGCTAGTTTTGATTTCTTGCTCATTTTCAGAATAACTTTCCAGGAAGAGATGGCATTTAGAACTTCAGCTTTGGTGCTCAGGTATAAAGCCAATTAAGGTACAATTGTACCATAAAGGGAACAATCTGTTTCTGATTGCACAGTTTCTAATTTTTAAAACTGATGTGGTTTGCATTTCATAAAAGGCAAAGTTTACAGAACCATAAACATTCTCAATTTTCTTTATGCTAGACATATAAATTATTTTTCAAACTGTATAGATTTGGGGTAAAAAGTTGTCTCAGTTCCTCTCCCAATTGCAATGAGAAAAAAAAGCTTAATTTTTACATTATACTTAATTTTCTAAAACCATGTAACTCCATTGAACACATTTTTCAACTTAAGGTCTGCATAGCAGACTTTTAATAACCTTGGGATTTATCTGGTAGAACAATATGTGTTCTACATTTTTTTCATAATTATATATTGTGTATGTTAAAACTATTTTCCAGTTGTTTTGTCTGTAAAACTGTCTTTATCAATATGCTTAATGGTTCTTTGTACAATTTTGAAAGTTTCTACCTGTATATAATGGATGTTAACCAGTATCAATAAATCACTTCGTATAATCTTAGTAGGTAGATTTATTTATTTATTATGTATTTTTAGGTCTTAAAAAGAAATAAGGGTAGTATTCAAAAAGTCTTGGCAAAAAGTTGTTTGGGTAGCTCACTAAGAACAAATCAGGAAAACAAAATTTTCTCTTTTTTTTTGAGGGTTGAGGAGTACTAGGCAATAAATCTAAGAAACATCATATTATACTTGAGAAAGGCATTTCAAAGTTCTCTAAAATGTTTTTGTGGGCAAAATAAATAGAAATGGGCGACATGAAACCATTATTAATGAATATGTCTAAACCTAGAAGAATGATTTTGAGTGATGTCACAAAGGCATCTGCCTCTACCTGCCCTATTCAACTTTGTTATCAATTATATGAATAATAATAGCTAACATATATTGAGTACATATCGTGTCCCAAGAACTGCACTATGTTTTCTGGGAACATATGCACATGTATTCTTCACAGCAACCCTGATCCTGTTATCAGCCCCATTTACACATGAAGAAACAGGCTTAAGTTCCTTGTCTCTGATTATATGGCTAGTAAGATTTATTTATAAATTAGATGTCATGAAGTAGGTAGAAAAACAAATACAGTGACAGAACTAAAATCCCCCCCATGTTAGCCAACTGGCATGTTGCTTCAACATCAACTTGGATGAGTTTAACATCATCAACTTGGATGAGTTTAACATCATCAACTTGGATGAGTTTAACAAGAAGAAATGTAAGCTCCTAGACTTGTGTCCAAAAAACAAATGCATATGCAGGAGATCATTCTTGGAAACAACACATGTTAGAAAAAGAACTTAGGGAGTTTGCCATTATGAATCACTAGTGGAATGAAAGCAGATATGATGTCAATCTACCTTATTACTAGGATAGGCTGTCAAATGAGCATAGTGATGGTTCCACTCTACTCTGAGGTCAGGCCACACCTAGGCGCTTGTTCAATTCTAGGCACCATGCCCTATGTGAAATAGAAGCACAGAGCACATTCCTTTATTCATTTGAAGGCTGTCTAATGATTTGTTCTTTGTGTTCCTTAGGGTATAGAACCAGAATCATTAAATAGAAGTGACAGGCTGGGTGCGGTGGCTCACGCCTGTAATACCAGCACTTTGGGTGGCCGAGGCGGGTGGATCACTTGAGGTCAGGAGTTTGAGACCAGCCTGGCCAACATGGTGAAACCCCGTCTCTACTGAAAATACAAAAAATTAGCTGGGCGTGATGGCAGGCACCTGTAATCCCAGCTACTTGGGAGGCTGAGGCAGGAGAATTGCTTGAACCCGGGAGGCAGAGGTTGCAGTGAGCTGAGATCGCACCATTGCACTCCAGCCTGGAAGACAGAGCTAGACTCCAAAAAAAAAGAAGTTACAAAGTTCCACTTAACACAAGAAACTTCTAAATAATTAGGTGCTCAAAGAATATGCCATTGGAAGTAGTATCTTCTCATTTAACAAATACTGACTGCACATTTTCTAGGTGCCAAACACTAGGCGCTATACTGGAGAGACAACAGTGAACAGTACAAGCAAAGTCCCTGCCATCTCTACAATTACAGGAAAGTTTCAGAAATGCCATGAAATGCTACAGTAAGCACACAGCAGGGATATCTGACCTGGTCTAGCTGGGGGGGCAAGGTGTAGTCAGTAAAGATTTTCCAGAGGAAGTTACATTGAAGATGAGACCTGAAAAATTGTAAACATTTGCCAGGTACTTGGCAGTATTGGTAAATATGCCAGCAGAAGAGAAAATAAGCATGAAGGCTCAGAGTGGAGAGGGCACACATCACCCTTTCAGTAAACTAAAGAACTTAAACTTGACTGGAACTATCAAGGAGAGACAAAGTCGTAAAAGATAAAGTTGGAGAAGCAAGTAGAGTGAGGCTTAGCCAAGGAAGAGTTTGGACTTTATCCTAATGACAAAGTGAAGACCTTCAAAGTAATTTAAGCAGGAGCAGCAGGATCACTCTAGAAAGATCACTTTGGGGTTGTAAGGTGATGTAACTTGCAGCAGACAGACCATTTAGGAGGCTATCAGAATAGTACATTTGAGTTCACGATGGCCTGAATTAAAATAATGGTATTTAGTTGTTGGGGGTGGGGGAATTGGGGGAGAGGTGATGTAAGGGAAGAGAAAGTGTCAGAAAACGATTTGTTTTGAGCAACTGGGTAGACAGATGATTCTCTGAGAGGAAACAGAAATAAAAACAGCTTGTGTATGTCAGTGTGTATGTAAAGGGTATAGTTCAGATTGTACATATCTAAGGTAGCTTGCAAGCTATCCAAGTGAGATAAACTATAAGACCTAAAAATATGGGTGTGAAGCTCAGCAGAGAGCTGTAAGCTAAAGATCTGCAAGCCATCTACATATATATCAAGAAAAGGAAGCCACACAAGTGGCTGAAAAAACTTAGGCTGACTCTGTAGAGTGGGAAGGAAGCAAATCCCTAGGGCAGAGAGTCACTAGAAACCTTGAAACTGGGAAGGGCCAGAGAGGTAAGAAGGGAACTTGGCTAGAAGATGTCACAAACCTCAAGGTAAAAGAGGGGGTGCATGAAGAGAGTGGGCAGCCAAGTTACAGGCTTCCAAAAGACAAAGACAAAAATGTTTGTTGGGATTAGTAAAAGGTCATGGGTGACTTTGGTGAAGAGCAGTTTCTCTAAATCAGTAAGGCTAAAGGCTAGATTAGAACAGGTTGAAGAAGGGGAGGCAGAATGGAGGCAACTCAAGAGGCGACGAGCGGGTGGATCACAGAAAGGGGAGGATTTTTTAAATTTTAAATTTGTTTTAAATTTTAAATTTTAAGGGATTTGCCATTCAAATGCTGGTGGAAAGAAGCCAGTATTATGTGGAAAAAATATAGATAGTGACAATACTGTACTACAAAGAATGTTGAAGATTGAAGACAGAGAAAAAATATTCAAAAGAGCAAGACCCTTGGAAAACAGAGGGAATATAATATAAATGGTGAGGTTAGCTTTCATGGTAGAAGAAACCCAATATGTAATGGAAATGCTCCAGTGAGTCCTGAATGACCACTTGCCAAAAATGGTGTAAGTGCTGCTCTGAAACGGTGCTCCCCATCCCCAGACTGGAAGAGCTGGTGGAGCACAACGGCTCAGACCCATGTCGCTCTGGACCCAGCGACATGGGTTTCTATACTAGTTCCACCACTAGCTGTGTGATCCAGGGGAAGTTAGAAAATTTTCTGTGTCTGTTTCCTCCAGTTTTTTCAAGAATTAAAGTTTATAAAGGGCCTCGAACAGTGTCTGACACATAGTGCTGCTATTTAAGTATTCATTGCTGTTATTGTTTTATTAGGTTTTTTACTAAACTTGCTAAGGATCATAAAAACTAGGACTAATCTGACTCCTAATAGGATTTGCTACTATGCCACCAGTATCGTAATTGACATCCTCCAAATCAAGCTCTTTAAATGCTATAGAAATTCCAATTAACAGATGGTTTCAGAGATTAGAATAAATTTGCCATATGAGAAATTTGCAGCTTAAACTACTTTAAATGCTAAAAACCAACACCTCAATAATATATAAACCAAAGACAAGAACTTGTATTTCAAATGTTAAGGAACCATTATTTAAAAAAAAGAAATGAGTTCACTCACTTTTTGAAGGCACATCTTTTGAGGTTACCAAATGGCAACTTTCCTAGAAGGTTCACTTCTAAAAGTCTAACATAATGGTAGTAGACTGAGAATAATTAAGAATCATCTAGACTTGTGTCCAAAAAACAAATGCATATGCAGGATATCGTTCTTGGAAACAATACATGTTAGAAAAAGAACTTAGGGAGTTTGCCATTATGAATCACTAGTGTGGAATGAAAGCAGGTATGATCTCAATCTACCTTTGGCCTCAAAAGACAAGCGAGTACTTGTACCAAAAAGAGAAGTTTTAGGGAAAGTCCACCAAATATAATTTTCTAACAGAACTGTTCATAAATGGTTGTTTGGGAAAGTAATATTCTCATCACTTTTTTTGTTGTTGTTTTTTGAGACAGGGGGTCAGTTTGTTGCCCAGGCTGGAGTGCAGTGGCAAGATCATGACTCACTGCAGCCTCAACCTCCTGAGTTCAAGTGATCCTCCTGCCTTGGCCTCCTGAGTATCTGGGACTACAGGCATGTGCCTGGCTAATTTTTTGTAGAGATGTGGTTTCACCATGTTTCCCACGCTGGTCACAAACTCCTGGGCTCAAGCAGTCCTCCCGCCTCAGCCTCCCAAGGTGAATTCCTCCTCCAATGAATAGCAGTTTTCAGATAGTTCAGAGACATATCCCTATCATGTTTCTTGTGCAGGCTAAACTCCCTCGATTTCCAAAATGTACCCTCATAAACATTTCCAGAGCCATTGTTATCCAAACTTAATACATGAGAATCTAGTTTTGAATCACGTAAAGAACAAAGTCAATTTGGGGAGACAAATTACTAGTGTTTCATTAAGGAAACTATAAGTGGATTACAGATGCAGTCTCAAGAATACATGAGTTGTGTAAGAATTTCCTTTTTTTGGAGATGGAGTCTTGCTCTGTTGCCCAGGCTGGAGTGCAGTGGCGCGATCTCGGCTCACTGCAACCTCCGCCTCCCGGGTTCAAGCGATTCTCCTGCCTCAGCCTCCCAAGTAGCTGGGACTACAGGTGCCTGCTGCCACACCCGGCTAATTTTTTGTATTTTAGTAGAGACGGGGTTTCACCATTGTTGCCCAGGCTGGTCTCGAACTCCTAAGCTCAGGCAATCTGCCCGCCTCAGCCTCCCAAAGTGCTAGGATTATAGGCGTGAGCCACCGCGCTCGGCCGAGTTGTGTAAGAATTTTTAGGGAATGCTTTTTTATTTTATTTTTCCACTTTTTTATTATTTGAGATGAAGTCTCACTATGTCACCCAGGCTGGTCTCCAGCTTTCAGGCTCAAGTAATCCTTCCATCTCAGCCTCCCACATAGCTAGGATTACAGGGTATCATGCCTGGCTTTGATAATTTTTTAAAAAATTATATTACAGAATTACCATTCAACCTATTACTGAGTATATGCCCAAAGGAAAATAAATCATTCTACCAAAAAGACACATGTTCATAGCAGCACTATTCACAATAGCAAAGACATGGAATCAACCTAGGTACCCATCAATGGTGGACTGGATAAAGAAAATGTGGTACACATACACCATGGAATACTTCACAGCCATGTAAAAGAATGAAAGCATGTTCTTTGCAGCAACATAGATGCAGCTGGAGGCCATTATCCTAAGCAAATTAACAAAGGAACAGAAAACCAAATACCACATGTTCTCATAAGTGGGAGCTAAACATTTGCTACACATAAATATGACAACAATAGACACGGGACTATTTGAGGTGGGAGGGAGGGAGTGGGGCAAGAATTCAAAAACTGTTGATCCAACAGTGTGTGCTCACTTTGTGTTTCTGTGTCACCTTTTGGTAATTATCACAATATTTCAAACCTGTTTATTATTATGTCTGTCATGGTGATGTGTGATCAGTGATCTTGGATGTTACTATCATAATTGTTTTGGGGGTGCGACAAACCACACCCATATAAGATGGCAAACCCTAATCAATAAATGTTGTATGTGTTCTGATTGCTCCACCAAAAAAAAAAAAAAAAAAAAAGAAAAGAAAAAGAAAAACTTGGGTTCTGTGCTCAGTACCTGAGTGACGATCATTCAGACCCCAAACCTCAGCATCACACAATATACCCAGGTAAAAAATCTGCATGTGTATCCCCTGAATTTAAAATAAAAGTTGAAAAAATTCTCTTACCAGTTATAAAAACAACTCTTTTGCAATGAGATTTGCAATTTTAAGACCTTCTGAAGAACGAGACTCTAGTTTTTTTGTTGGTATTTTTCAATATGAGGTATTCCTTGGGTTCATGAAAAACTGTTTAAACACACATTATTCATGTTTGAAGAATACCATTTTAGGATACCCAATGGGGTTTAATGTTACCCAATCAATGTTTTAGGGACCCCACCTCATATGCCTATGTGTCAAAAAGGTTATTACCTTCATGAATTAGGGAAGTTTCAAGCAGATATGAATTGCAACTGTAAACTCTGGTGTGCAAAAATGTCATGTTTTTAAAATCAACCTGACAATCTGAATCTCTATCCCACAGGACTGAAAGGGAATCTTTACTCTCTTTCATCCACACTGATGACTAGTGTCAAAGTGCCCCATGGCTTTGTGAAGTCCAGGGCTCTCTGCTTTCACACCATGCTTGGGGAAAATGAGTGAGTGGTCTGGGCTGAGCTACTTTCCCAGTGGAGCTCCGTGCCACTGAGCTCTTTCCCCATGAGGTTCTCTCCCCTAGGGATTATAGGCGTTGCTGTTGCTGACCAGCAGCAGTTTCCTAAGACTCCTGGGTGCCACCCCACACCCATCCTCCACCATCCTGTCCACCCCCCTTACTCAGGCAATCTACTGTCTCTATTATTCACCGGAGAAATATAATCTACTTTTTCCACTTAGGCTATAATTAAACAAGGTGACACAGGTGTAGTTAAATCGCTCTCCTTATTTTAACATGTTGCCCTTGGCAGAGAAGTAATTGAAAAGTTACATTCTAAGGAAGGAGTCAGGTTCCTTTAAAGTCAGACCAGGGGAAGTTAGTTCTGTTCAAGACCTCTGATAAATGGTAATTCAGTGGAAACTGCTTTGTTTTCTTTATCCCCAAAGATAATGTTCTTTTATTTGAGACAGAGAAAAAGTCTTTGTTAGAAAAACAGTCCTCTTACACAGCAAGAAAGCATCAGCAGAAGGGAAAAGAGCTGACAAGGGAAGGTTATGAAAAATCTCCTGGGAGTTATTTCCAATTATTAAGCAAGCAGCAAGGGAAAGGGACTATTTATTGAGCACTTATTATATGCCATACATTAGAAGCTGAGAAAGCATACCACTGCCCTTATAAAGCTAACAACAAAAACTAAGTCATAAGAGCCCAAGCAGTGGTGTAAAAGCTCAGGACTAGGTGAGTAGACAAATGCAGGTATCAGATGAAAAGGCAAGCTTTCTGTTTGAATCAGGGTAAAGGAAAGCAATCAGAACTGGGAAAGGTCCCCAAAGAGGTGCTGGTGCCATCCTGATCCACTATCTTGTCAGCACCATCTGAGGAAGGATATGGAGTTAAGATTCAAGGAGGTAGTTGGCTGATGGGCTTACATTTGTGTTTACATTTTTCTAAATTTTGCTTTGGAATTATTTTTATAAATATATTTTTAATCATGCATTATCCTTTAATTGAGCTCAATAGTAGAAAAGAAAGCTATAATCTTGAGTTTTTATTTACCATGCTATAAACCTAGCTTCTTAGACAAAACAATAACCCAACTACCCATGTAGCTTTCATGAATTATGAGCAATATTATTACATTAAAAATCTTTTTATTATTAAGGTACCCACCACAATACATAAACTATAAAGTGACAGCTAATTCCACAAGACATTTAAGCAATTACTTTGATCATTTAACCAGCATAAACTACTAAACTGGATATATCAGAACAAAATTGTGCTTTGAGGTTTTGTCCACTTTCAAAAACAACAAAATAAACACCCAGAAAAGGCAGGATAATGATGTAGCCATTCTCTTATGATAACAACAGTTATAAAAATCTGTACAGGTAAGGATTATCTAAAAGGTGTATTTTGTGACAACACAAGCCTAGACCTCCACATTTTCCCCCATTGGATAGATGAATGGCTTGCAATGACATCATTATACGGCAATTTTAAAGTATTAGTTCACATTTTCAGTCTACTGTGTGTTCCAAAGTAAGCCAACTACTTAATATGCTTTCAAAGGTGATAGTTTCCTGTCTCAAGCAAGTAACCTTTTTTCCTCTTTTTTAAGTAAATGTGGTCACACAGTATACAGCTACAATGCATGCATAATTTAAATATGCATGTTGGCCAGTTGCAGAGGCTCACGCCTGTAATCCTGACACTTTGGGAGGCCAGGGTGGGTGGATCAGTTGAGGTCGGGAGTTTGAGACCAGCCTGGCCAACATGGTGAAATCCTGTCTCTACTAAGAATACTAAAATTAGCTGGGTGTGGTGGTGGGCACCTGTAATTCCAGCTACTCAGGAGGCTGAGGCAGAAGAATCGCTTCAACCCTGGAGGCGGAGGTTGCAGTGAGCCAAGATCTTATCACTGCCCCCCAGCCTGGGTAACAGAGACTCTGTCTCAAAAAATAAAAATAAAAAAGAAAATATGCATGTGGTATTTTGTTAGCCAAGTTAAATTTTTTTTAGTTCTATGAATGCAAATGTAAGCAAAAGTCACAAACTATTTTGTCAACCTCTAAAATGTAGGGAAATGCACATGAACATCTCAGACTTACCCTCTTCTCTCTGTGGTGACAATTAGCTGGAGCTGACAAGTGATGTCCACTTTACCCAGGGTATGAGGTCTCCAGCCCCACTCTTCTCTCTATAGTTGCTATGGCCTGAGACCAAGAGTCAGTGGCCATTTACTAACGCACTCTATGCTGCTCTGCTCTGCTTTTCTTAGAAAGGAGTTGAGAGAACTCATCAAAGTGAGAAAAAGCACAGATAGATGGATGAAAGTAAATGAGTGAAAATATTTCCATGTCGTTAATATGCAAACAATGTGCCTAAAGAAGACAATTATCCCATTAAAAAGTTCTTGGCCTGCTTCTCTATTAATATAGAGTCCCATATGCATTTTACATTGTTGACTTCTAGGTTGTCAATTATTTAGAAGTATTTTTGGAAAAACCTACCTTATCTGATTTCAGTTTATTAGCACCTTTAGTTACAGAAACATGAACTCTAACATACACTCAAACTGATCATTTTAATATTTTATCCAGTAGTGGAAAAAGGGTTTACTGGAAAAGGATGTCCCAATTATCTAGATTGAATGAGGTAGTTTTTCTCTGTGCATTACAGCTAGCAATATTTATACGAGTAAATGATAGAGTTATTGAGAGCAGAAGCAATGTGGTATTTCCAGAAATGAAGTCTTCAATGGAGTCAGTTTACTGGATAAATGTTCTAATCTTTTGAGAAGTCCTAGATTTATGGCCTCAAAACTAACTATATATACACAAGAAAAGTTCAGCCTCTATTACCCAACATCAAAGAGAGGATAATGCTAGTCACACATGAACCCTAAGATTACAGGATTGTTCTAAGAAAGACCTTCTGCATAAGCAAAGGTTTATGTTTCTAATAGATCACAAAATATGAGACACTTTCAGATCAAAGACTACTGTTTAGACTAAGTCCCAACAGGGCTTTCATTTTGTCATGTTAATAAGGATTATATTAAACAAATTAGTAAAGTCTGAAACTATACTTCAAAGGCTAAATCTTATGTTCTAAATTCAGGATGAAAACAGTACAGGTTTTAAATTAAGCGCTGTAACTAACTGAAAGATAATTTAGCAATTAAGATGGGTAGAAAGTATTTTAAAAGACATGAAAAGGAGTAACTCCTAGTAGCAGCTGTGACACCCTGATGCACAATATAGCTCCCAAGTATCCCATCTTTATACTCCATTAACTTAAATGAAACTATAGCATATCACTGACCTGGCCTCAGAATAAGGGAGATAGGAAATAAGGGCTCATAAAGTGGCTCTACTACTTACCAGAGTAACAGAGCAGAACTGCTGCAGTAGTGATCCCTCTCAACTCTGGATCTGTGAGTTGGTTGCCATGCCACACTCCTGCTTGATTCTCACTTCCCAGGTTGACACCTTGACCTCTCACACTGTGCTGTTTCATGATGACCGTATTACATTCTGACTGCCATCATCACAATTCTGTGGTCTAATCTGATTCATTTGTGTTTAGGTATGGTATTCCACACCATAAAATCTGTTCTCCTGACATCATCAACTACCTGCCCTCTTCTTTCTCCACAGTGAAGAAGAGTAAAAAAGTATTCCTACTCAATCAGTACTTTGGGCCTCCTAATCCCCATCCTCTGAAAGGAGGAAGGTCAGTGGGAAAATGGTTCTCACTGGAAATAAATAACAACAGTTGGTTTGGAATACCATGAATTATAATTCTGTAAAAACTCAGACATGCTGATCTTCTAACTTCTAAACTAGGTTATTTCACAATAATTAGCTTCTATCCCCAGTAAGGAATTAGTGCATAAAGCAACTAAAAATTTATTTCTATACAATTTTTTTTTTTTTTTTTGAGACAGAGTCTCACTCTGTCGCCCAGGCTGGAGTGCAGTGGCACAATCTCGGCTCACTGCAACCTCCGCCTCCTGGGTTCAGGCAATTCTCCTGCCACAGCCTCCCGAGTAGCGGGGATTACAGGCGTGCACATGCCACCACGCCCAGCTAATTTTGTATTTTTAGTAGAGATGGGATTTCTCCATATTGGTCAGGCTGGTCTCAAACTCCTGACCTCAAGTGATCCACCCACATCGGCCTCACAAAGTGCTGGGATTACAGGCATGAGCCACCATGCCCAGCATTTCTAAATAATTTTGTGGAATGTAAGACATGTAAATATAAAGAAGACCAAAAATTAGAAGAGGTCAGAGTAATGAAATTTCATTGGAAACCTTTCCTCAATGAATACACAGTCATTGCAAAAACAACACCTCAACCTTTACTGAAAGTGAAAGTTAGCAAAAACTAGTGAATCAATTCCATCCTGCTATTAAAAAGGCCAGATTCATTGTCAAAGGGATAAATTCTGGGTCTTACATTCTTTTTCCACCATCTGCTCTTTTTTAAATAACTTTTTCCTAAATATGGTAGATCATGGCTCCCCTTAACTTTCAACCGACAAAGCAGCCATACCTACCTCTTTCTAAGATGAAATTGTGACACTGATCTCACAGGTGCCTATGCCATGTAAACAGCAGGAATGTCACCTTGGGTAGGCCCAGGGTATGGAACGTAATAGAGAGCCCTGTGTATAGGACAGGGTCACTCCTTAGCTGATACTTCTAAGGACCCATCACAGGCAAGTGGAATTTCTCTATCCTGACTTCATTCCCAGGTCAATGCTGACATATAGAGTTCTAAATCTAGATAATTTGTAATTAGTGAAGTTGAAAATATACCATAATTTCAGCAAAAAAAAAGGGGTCTTGTACTAGATAGTACTAATGGGTTAAGCGAGTTAAATTAATTAGGCTTTTAAGGATCTCAGCCTTATTTCTTCTATCACTCATTCCTTATCTTCAAACTGAGTCTTTGGTGGATGTAATATAATCTCATCTTAGGTATATATGAGCACAGAACGGCCATTAAAATCCATCACAGACCAAAAGAAGAGACTGATTTTAGGTCAGTCCTTTTTCATTTTGTAACAACAGTAATTCTACTTATAGAAAACAGACTCTCAAATCTCAAAAGTTTAAAGTTTCATTAGAAAAATCATAAAAATAAGAAAAGTATTCATCAAGAATGATAATAGTATAATTTCATTATCAAATTCATTTAAAACATGAATTACAGTACAGCAAGAGAAGTGACAGCATAAAGTCTTATATAATTTTAAAAACAAACATCACACCATATGGTTTTAATAAAAGGCAATTGCAGTTCCAATTTCCAAGCTGTATCCTTAAGTTGAGGGTTTTCCGTAGTTGGTTTTACATTAAACTATCTCCATAACAAGTTTAAAGGTGTATGTCATTTCATCACCAAGTATTTTAGTCCCAAAATGTATAAACCAAGCATCTGATAATGAGGTATCTTGTCGCTGCCTCTCTTTTATTTGAGGAATATAAAATTTAAGGTCAATCCAAGTTCAAGTCCACACCACAGTGCTATCTAGCACATGAATATTTGTCCTCCTTTGCTTCTTAGGAAGCGTGATTAGGAGTCATAGCCACAAAATTGAGATTATGATGATAAACTTTTTTTTTTTTTTTAAGTCTGCCTGCTAAGTTCTATCTCTTCTTTCACCCACCCCTGGAATCTCCACCTCCCCTATCAAATTTAGATTTGGGAAGAGTTTTTGTTCAAAGTCTCTTAATTTCTTCAGTATTCAAATTATATCTGAGTTTATTTAAAACTTAAAAAAAAAGAAGAAAAAAGCTTACCTCTTTTTATTGTTTCATCAAGAAAATGTTAAAACCCTGACAAAAGCTTACCATCTTTTCCAACTCTATTCTATCAAGGCCCTGTCAGCACTAGCATGATACCACAGACTGGATCTTTTTCCATTATTTATTCCCAAAAATTAGCAAAATCCTTTGTAATTAGCTGAAGTCTATCAGAATAAATTCAGTCTCTGAAGATGAAGCTACTTGAGTTGTTCCATTCTGTTCACGCACATAACAAAAGGCAGAATCATTCATTTATCCTGAAAAAAACCAGACAGTGTGTGTGACAACTGCAAGCAAGGCTCGCTAAGACATTCTTGCAGCTCAGAGAAATTAAAGCAAAGTGCAAGCTGGAAGTGAGTTCTAAAGTTAAGTCTCCCACTTGAAATTTAATTACAATAAAGAAGGTTAGAGGAGGATGAATAGGTTCAATGTCTTCAACAATTATCGAGGTGGAAAGCCACCTCTGTGTGCTCCTCCACGGCCCCCTCTAAAGCCACCTCTTTCTCCTCGGAAGTTAGATCTATTTCTTTCTCGTCCACGGCCAGCAGAAGTTCCACCTCTTCCTCCACCTCTGGGAGCTCCACCTCCTCGGTCAGATTTAGATTTGGGAGGAGGCGATTTTGGTCGAAGTCTCTCAATTTCTTCTGTACAACCAGTCAAGTAGGAATTAGGAGCACTGAAATAGGATGCATATGTTTCTGCATTGTAGTTGCTATTTGTAAGCGTTGGTCCAACTGTGAGCCAGCCTGAAATGGAGGAAAAAAAGATTATACTTTTTATTTGCAATTCTCTCTTATTAATTCTTTAGAAGCTAGTTCAAATCCCCAATGCATTCTTAAAGATGTCCCCATCATTCATCCAATACTGATCTCTTTTACAGAATGGCACTTAATTGTGGTCATGTTTTAAAGATTTCACAGGTATATATCTTGTTTCTCCTCCTAGATTGTAACTTTTGTAATATATCCTCCTCATCCACGTACTATCTTTTGTGAGAATAGAACTTAGAGAAAAAAAATCCCATACATTACACTGAGTTTGGGTTTAGTGAAACTGTAATAAATTATATATAATCTTCCTATTTATGTAAATGGTGCCATTTTCTGATTAAAATCTTGGAACCAACTTTTGCTCTACACTTGCTAACTAGAAAATATTCTCAGTTGATAGGTCTGAGAAATTCAACCACTACCATGTTACTCCCACTCATTCCTATCTTTCCATTTCTGCTGCCACCCTCAAATTTAAGCCTTTATTTTTTTTTACAAGGTCAATACCCTACCATATAACACATGTGTAACAGACACACATATATACTGTAATGATCTCCCAACCTATAGCTTCTCCTCCCTCTAAAAGTGGAAAGCCTAAAGCAAAGCTTAAAACATGTCACTTCTCTGCTCAAAAACCTTCCAACTGTTTCCACAAAGCCCAAATTCATAAATATAAAATCTAAGATCTTTTACAATGATGGCTGAATGAACTTTCCAATAACATTTCTCATTAATGCTTTTCATGAACCTCTAAGGAAAACAATGAACTACTATAGTAACTGCTTCTATACTAACCCCGATTTTTGTGCCCATATTATTTTCTTTTCTATCCTGTCAACCTGTTAAAAATCCCACCCTTCAACATCCAATTCAAATATATTTCTTACATGAAATGAAAATTATTTCTTCTTTCTCAGAATTTCCACTGCACATTATACTTCTGTAGGTAAACAGCTATTTTGCCAATTATATTGCTAGACAACTTTTCTTGTAATAAGGATATTTTCTGATTGATTAAACTGTCTTTAGAATGGAAGGAACTACAAATACCCAATACAGACACGGTGCTCTGGGGTTCTTTGGGTGTGGTGACTCTTACAGACATGCCCTTTGTAGGGGACCCTGAAAATATGCCTCTGGAGCATTATAAGAGACACAGCATTATTTGGGACAGGTCCAATTATCTGTAAGAATTAGGTTATTTATCTGCAAAGTTAGGTTTATAATATATCTGCCCCATCATCCTTAGGTTATTTCTTAGAAAAGTAGATGCATCATAAAAAGCTATAAAATGAAAAATATTTCACTAGGATCACATTCTAAAATACAGTAGCCATTTCTGTACAATACTTAGTTCATTGTTTTTTAAAACATTTTTAGTTTCTAAAAGTGCATGAATACAGTAAGATTTGTAATAGTTGAAGAAAAAAAGGTTAATTATACTGTGTCTTTTATGTATTACCTGGCAGATACCATGATCAAGAGCACATTCCACACCTATGGGCTCTCACTGACTATTAAACCTATGAGATTTTTATTTGCTGCCTTCTAGTTTGTTTTTTGGCATGTTTGTGGTATTATGGAAGATAATATTCAATATATGTGGAACACAACACCACAAACAAGGAATAAGAAACAGAAAATTTAAAGATATAATAAAAATAACTAATACTCTGTCTCCCTTGCTATACTGTCTCTTACGTAAAACATGGAAATCCTTGCAGAGTAAACTGGCTATAGAAGTCCAAGGGATTCCCCTCTCTTCCAAATTCTGCACAGCAACATTGTGTTTTATCAGAAATTCTAAAGGTATTACTAAGAACAGAGTAAGTTTAAAATAGTCTGGCTTGGGTGTGTGGTGGCTCACACTTGTAATCCCAGCAATTTGGAGGCCAAGGCGGGCGATCACTTGGGGTCAGGAGTTCGAGACCAGCTTGGCCAACATGGTGAAACATCATCTCTACTAAAAATACAAAAAATTAGCCAGGTGTGGTGGCACACGCCTGCAGTCCCAGCTACTCAGGAGGCTGAATCACTTGAACCTGGGAGGCGGGGGTTGCAGTGAGCCAAGATCGTGCCACTGCACTCCAGCCTGAACAAGAGTGAGAACCTGTCTCAAAAAAAAAAAAAAATTGTCTGGCTTCAGAGTGTATTTGACTCACATAGTTATCTGTAAATTTTATTTTAAAGCAATGGTAAATTGTATTCCTAAGGTATATGTGAAATACCTTAGGCTATGTCCTTGAGGAAGAAGTGTGTTTGAGGAGCAACTTAATAAACTAAGGTCTTTTTTTTTTTTTTTTTTTTGAGACAGGGTCTTATTCTGTCACCCTGGCTGGAGTACAGTGGCACAATCTCGGCTCACTGCAACCTCTGCCTCCCAGGTTCAAGTGATTCTTCTGCCTCAGCCTCCCAAGTAGCTGGGATTACAGGCACACACCACCACACCCAGCTAATTTTTGTATTTTTAGTAGAGACAGGGTTTCACCATGTTGCCCAGGCTGGTCTCAAACTCCTGACCTCAAGTGATCTGCCCACCCTGGCCTCCCAAAGTGCTGGGATTACAGGCTTGAGTCACAGTGCCTGGCCATAAATTAAGGTCTCTTGAACAGACTCTCAATTGCACATACTATTATTTATATGGCTAACTCCCAAACATCTACACTTTGATCCATCAAATTTTTCTTCCTTATTTGCATGTAGCTAATACTAAATTTTTGCAAGAGTTTCTTTCTTGAAACTCTTGCCTATTCAATTTCTTTCTTTCTTTTTGTACTAGTAGTTTACAAGTACAAAATTAAACCTGTACCCCTAACCTGAATATCAATCTAAAAATACTTCAGATAGAAAGACAGCAAGTAAATCCAAAGAAACTAGAAAGAAAATAAAAAAGCAGAAAGTAATTAAATAAAAATAAACATGCAACAAGGCAGTGAGAAGACAGTCACCGAATAAGAGAAAATATTTGCAAAAAACAAATCTGATAAAGTACTATTCTCCAAAATATACAAGTAACTCTTAAACCTCAACAATAAGAAAACAAACAGCCAAATAAAAAATGGGCCAAAGACCTTAAAAGACATCTCACCAAAAAAGGCATACAGATAGTAAATAAGCATATGAAAAGAGGTTCTACATCATATGTCATCAGAAAAATGCAAATTAAAACAACATTATGATACCACTACACACACACTAAAATTGCCAAAATCCTGAACACTGACAACACCAAATGCTGGTGAGGATGCAGAGCAACAGGAACTCTCACTGCCGGTGGAAATGTAAAATGGTACAGGCACTTCAGAAGACAGTCTTGGCAGTTTCCTACAAAATTAAACATTCTTACCATACAATCCAGCATTTGTGCTCCTTGGTATTTACCCAAAGGAGCTGAAAACTTACGACCACACAAAAACCTGTACACAGATTTCCATTGTAGCTTATTCATAATTGCCAAAACTTGGAAGATGTCCTTCAGTAGGTAAATGGATATAAAAACTGCGGTACATCCAATGGAATATTATTCGGCACTAAAAAGAAATGACCTATCAAACCATGAAAAGGAATGGAGAAATCTTAAATGCCAATTACCAAATGAAAGAAGCCAATCTAAAAAGGCTACATACTATACGATTCCAACTATGTAACATTCTGACAAAGGCAAATTACGGAGACAGTAAAAAGATAAGTGGTTGTCAAGAGTTGTGGGTAGGGATGAATAAGTGGAGCACAGAGGATTTTTAGGGCCGTGAAACTATTGAGTATGATCCTATAATGGTGGATAGATGTCATTATACATTTGTCCAAACTCACAGAATTACTACAACCAAGAGTGAATCCTAATGTAAACTGTGGACTTTGAGTGATTATGATGTGTCAATGTAGGTTCATCATTTGTAACAAATGTACCACTCTGTTGGGAGATACTGATAACTGGAAAGGTTATGCATGTGTGGGGGCAGCAGGTATATGGAAAAGTCTCTGTGCCTTCCTCTCAATTTTGCTGTGGACCTGAAACTGTTCATATTTGAAGTACAGCAAGAAAAGGAATCAAATGCATAAGAACTTTATTTTACACAGCACCATGTCCTATTTCTTGACATGCATAACCCAAAGAATCATAAAAGTTGTTGTTAACTGAGGTCCTACCTGGTCGAATTGTACTATCTCTTCCAAATAGATGAAGGCGTCTTCTACCAAGACAAAAATGCTCAATTATATGAAAAATTTCTACAGGTTTTTCTATATTGCCAATTTCAGGTTCTTCTGTGATAATTAAGTCAATGTCAACATTAGCATGAATGAAGTCCCCGTCTGTGCTACGCTTCACAGTTCCTTTGATCCCCATGAGGCAGTGTTCCTAAATAACAAGAGCAGACCAATTAATCTGTTTTCATCAACAGTCATTCCAAAACCTTTCACATTTCTGATGTCCTCAATTCTAAAACAATCCTCATTTCTCGGAATCTTTGGGATACAGTTATTTCTCTTCTTTTTGAGACTGGGTCTCGCTCTGTCACCCAGGCTGGAGTACAGTAGCACGATCTCAGCTCACTGCAGCCTTGACCTCCTGGGCTCAAGCAATCCCCCGCCTCAGCCTCCCAAGTAGCTGGGACCACAGGAACACACCACCACACCTGGCTGATTTTTAAATTTTTTGTAAAGACAGGGTCTCGCCATGTTGCTCAGGCTGGTCTCAAATTCCTGGGCTCAAGTGGTCTACCTACCTCGGCCTCCCAAAGTGCTGGGATTACAGAAGTGAGCCACCATTTCTGGTGAGATACAGTTCTATGGGCAACAAAACAACAGGAAAACCTGGATCTCTGGATGAGGAAAGACTGCCATGTAAATAAGAAAAACAAACTCTTCTACGCACTCACAACACTCAGTATTTTCAGAATACTTCACTTCTGATCCCAGATGTGTGGGTTTTTCCCATACCAAGCAATTCTCCACTTCTCCATCAACACTATAATTCAATTCAATTCTGACACTATCTACCTAGTTAGTGCAGACCCCACAGGTCAAGGGCTGAGAACCACATGAATGCCCCACCTTCAGATACCAATCACAAGTCCAGATTGTCACCTGTGCTTCTGACCAACCAGCTATAAATCAGAGGTTCCCATGACCTCTTCCTCAGGTTAGATCATTTGCTAGAACAGCTCGAGGAATTCAGGAAAGCTCTTTACTTACTATGACCTATTTATTATAAAAGGATACAACTCAAAAACAGCCAGATGGAAGAGACACATAATGAAAAGTATGCGGCATGGGGCATGGGGCATGGAGCTGCTGTGCCCTCTCCAAGCAGACCACCGTCCCAGAAACTCCACAGGTTCACCAACCCAGAAGCTCTCCAACCCATCTTGGGATTTTACGGAGGCTTCATTACCTAGGCATGATTCCAGTACAAAAAAGACTTAATAAGAAAGACCCTCCCACCAGAGGCTCCCTAAAAAGTAAGAACAAAAACTGTTAAAGCCTGATACTAGCAGGGCAGAGTCACAACAAACAGAAGTTCTCAGGGGTTCTTGTAAAGGAAAAAGAAGGAAAGAAGAGAGAAATACGTCTCTAAGCTGGCCAACTCGAGTCTTGCGATCTTGCTATCTCTTCTTTCTGAGCCTAGAAAAATTCTGCGGGTGAGTGTGATCAAAAGCCTTTATCTAACTTAGAAATATGGCATTTAGGACATGGAGGAATATATACTCCCCTTTCTAGCATGGTGGGGTTGATCTAAGATAATGAATAAAACATTTTAAAACTAATTTGGATGTATTCCTGTAATGCTCAATGCTGTCTTTACAAGTCTAAGAAAAGGACCTTTTCACTGAAGTTAATTAAACAGTATACAGTTATTTGGAAAAGCTTGAGAGAAAATCACAAAAATTAAAAAAAACAAATCAGTAAAGGCAATACCTTTGTTCTCTGAAAGACAGCCTTTGGATCTAAAGTCTTAGTCTTCCCAGGATTGTTTTTATTGGTTTTAATCCAACAAATATCTTCACATCTTCTGTAACCCCATTTTCGTAAACACTAGAAACAAAAGAATTTTAAACACAAATCCTTAACTTAAAGAAATAAACAATACTTAACAATAACAACCAGCATTAAAAAAAACTTTCTAGAGGTTTCAGACACTATATTCCAAGGTTTCAAGGTAATTTTGTTTCAGTGTAGAATATAAAAAGAAATGCCAGTCTTTAAATACATAGCCATAATACGGAATGCATATATATCTTTTGGATATCAATGTCATATATATAGTTAAATATCAAAACATAGAAAGGATTACATCATCTCCCAATTCTACATTCTATTGTCATCAATGGACATGGGGTTTTAAATTGTAAGCACTCAGACCTTCTGTAATCACAAAACAATCCAAAACACAATTTGATTCCTGCCAACTCAATATTCTATTCTCTGACAAAGCTACATACTATTGAAAATTTTCTAAACGCTAACTTCAAATGAGAGTCTTATAAAATCTTATTTCTATTTTTAATACAACTGTAAAAATGTTCAAACTTAAAATTGTTACGTGTATCTCTTTGTTGGGTAAAATGGTACTTTCATCTCTATATAATCTAGAAAACAGAGATGTGAACCTTAATGTCCTAGAAGCTGTTATACATTAACATAAAACAAATACCAGCTAAATGACTGCTCACAGTGACAACTGAAAGTCTACCATATGCCAGTGCTGGTTAGCTGCTGGAAATAAAAACATGAATAAGACACAGTCCCTATCCCCATCAACTTTAAGAGTAAAGGAGGGAAAAATAAACAAATAAGTACAGTATTGCTGGTATGATGATCAAGTACATATCAAGATATAGTAGAGGCAGGTTGGGGGCTAGGGGAGGGACAGCATTAGGAGAAATACCTAATGTAGATTACGGGTTGATGGGTGCAGCAAACCACCATGGCACATGTATACCTATGTAACAAACCTGCACGTTCTGCACATGTATCCCAGAACTTAAAGTATAATAATAATAATAATAATAATAATAATAATAATAATAAAACCTTCCAACAAGCTTCCTTTCCACCACAGGAAATCCTGTTGGGAGTTCCCCCTGAACCAAAAAAAAAAAAAGATAGAGT
Source organism: Homo sapiens (assembly GCF_000001405.40). Classification (NCBI taxonomy): domain Eukaryota; kingdom Metazoa; phylum Chordata; class Mammalia; order Primates; family Hominidae; genus Homo; species Homo sapiens. Next base: position 118,702,857 of record NC_000004.12, on the reverse strand, counting down.
ATAAAACATACACTTTTCAGGAATGCTTATTGGGTAATGTAAGATAACACCTCAAAATGAAACTCAGAATTTTATTTTATTTTATTTTTTGAGATGGAGTCTCACCTAGGCTGGAGTTCAGTGTGGTAATCTTGGCTCACTGCAACCTCCGCCTCTCAGGTTCAAGTGATTCTCATGCCTCAGCTTCCCAAGTGGCTGGGACCACAAGCACGTGCCACCATGCTGTGCTAATTTTTGTATTTTTAGTAGAGATGGGGTTTCACCATGTTGGCCAGGCTGGTCTTGAACTCCTGGCCTCAAGTGATCTGCCCGCCTCTGTCTCTCAAAGTGCTGGGATGACAGACATGAGCCACTGCGCCCAGCAGAATTTTATTTTAAAATCTCCAAAATCAAGATCAATATCTGTTCCTGTTACTAAATATTTATTTTGCACCAGGTGTCATTAACATCACTATGACCTAAATTCTACATGCCCTAATCCACTAATTTATCAAAATCTCATGAGTATTTCTCATGCTGAATTATTTTTTAAATCATTTTTCGCCGAACTCTCACCAGTATGATAAACTGCTACATTAAGTAAATAAGATAAAAACCTCCTGGATGGCTACTCAGGAGGCTGAAGCAGGAGAACTGCTTCAACTGGGAAGCAGAGTTTTGCAGGGAGCCAAGATCGCACCACTGCACTCCAGCGTGGGCGACAGAGCAAGGCTCTGCCTCAAAAAAAAAAAAAAAAAAAGATAAAAACCTTCTAATCATTTTCAATCTAATTTGGGGAATGAAAGGAAAGATCAAAGTCAGATATTAAAGTTAAAACAAAGTAAACACCAATATACCTATAAAAACATGTATGTTTCGCTCTTACTTTTCTATAGCATCTTGAAGAGCCAACACCAAAAAAATGGAGATATCCAACTGAAACACAGTTATAGTTTACCTTGGAGTTAATAAATGATGGAAGCAATGATGTTACCCAACAGCCTTACTATTTATATAAAGAATATACAGTAATTGTAGAATTTCAGAATTTGGGCACAATCTTATTTCCATATAATCATACTTATTATCTCATATAATCCTACTTAAATTTTTCAATTGTCAAATGGATACCTCCCCAAATTGGAATCATTAAATGAGATAGTTTGGTGTATAATAAATAATATGTCATAAAAACGAAGTGTCAACCAATAAAATGTGACAAAATTGAGACCCTCAAGAGTGAGTATCTTTTTGCCCAAAGTCTTACTGTTACAGCATAGCAGCTGAATTGAGAGCAAAATTAAGACTCCTGATACCTAGTCATAATACTGTTGTTATTCTTGTTTAAAACAGCATATATATTATTTTGTTCCTTTTGGTGAAGGCCAATCAGGGCCAGGGGTGGTGGCTCATGCCTGTAATCCTAACACTTTGGGAGGCTGAGGTGGGAGGATCCCTTGAGCCCAGGAGTTTGGGGCCAGCCTGGGCAACATAACAAGACCTCATCTCTACAAATACTAAAAAAATTAGCCAGGGGTGGTGGTGTGCCTGTGGTCCCAGCTATTAGGAGGCTGATGTGGGAAAACTGCTTGAGTTGAGTCCAGGAGGTCGAGGCTACAGTAAGCCACAATTGTGCCACTGCACGCCAGCCTGGGCAACAGAGTTGGTACCTTGTCTCAAAAAAACAAAAAAAAACAAAAAAAAACTCCAATAAAAAAATAAAAATAAAAAAGCTGTGAAATACAATTAAATATCAGATACTTAAAATAAGTTCAGGTATTATAACTTCTTTCTCATTCATTCATGTCTTCCATATGCTGTGTTACTTTTCCAATTTTATTTGACTTCCATTTGGATTTCAGGAGCCAATGCTCCTGAATACTTTTAGCTACTCATAGAACACTTTTTAGCTACTCATAAAGAATTGTAAATGATACCAAGCAGCTCATTTTTGAGGTATAATTTGGAGTTTCAAATCTTTAAGCTGTTCTCTTCCTGTACTTGTAATGAAGTGTCTTTTGAAAGAGCTACACATTCCTCCCTAGTGCTGGTAAACTAACTTACAAGTATTGCCTTTCTTACGTTCTTTTCTGGACATTTTTTTTTTCTCACTATTTTAGAATTATTTAAGAAACAAAGGACAAAATAACATCCACTTTCAAACATCCTATGCAACATACTGTTACATTTTTTTCTTATTAATTTAAAAATCCACTTTATAAAAGCACCATCTTACCACTCTTCCAAGGTCCAACCCCTCCCCAGAACCACACCAGAGAAAAATAAATGATCGAGGTGCTGCAATCTCATCAATTTCTAACTTCATAATCTGTAAGAAATCAAAACGATATTGCATAAAAGTATTTTGTTTCCCATTCATCCTAAATCCAAAAGAACAACAATTAAGATTTATTAGGATAGATGTGTTCTTTAAGTGTATTAGTTTCCATTAGGAACTAACAGAAAATAAATGTTATCCTTAAAATTACTCGTTCTATTGTTTTGTTACTTTATATACAAACAACATACACACCTGTGCACATATATACATATATACACTTGCTGTTATATGGAAAGAGCTTATAGGAAACAATAGCTATAGACTTATGCAATCTTTTAAGATGGAGCTTGAGACAGATTCTCCAGCAATCTTTTATCATTTACTGAAAAAGAATGAAGCACTTAACTAAGCCCAATGTTAGGGACAAAATTAAAATTAAAATATAACAATAAATGTTTCGGGAGGACTGTGATATCCAGTGTCTACAGAAGAACTTCTCAATAAATCAATATACATATTTTGCTACGATTACTACTTTGAGTCTCAAATGCCAAAAAAAAAAAAATTATTCTCTTTTGACACTAATTCTAAAAGTTAAGTGTTGGTACTTTAATGCTTGTGTTCTTAAGTAAAACACAATGACCACTACCGACTCTCTAACATGAAAAAGAATACCTGTGAAACCCAAACATTTTTCTTATTTACATTTTGTTTATTACATTAACTACTGGCACTTCCTTCAGGACGGTATCTCATAAAAGTTAAAGAACTTAGGGCTCTGGGGCCAGACAAAATTTTTCAGTATGCCAGCCAGAGTTGAAGTACAGTGAAATTAAACTGAAATCAAGAATTTGCATATAAAATAGAATTTCTTTATTTTAAAAACTGTATTAGTTTATCACATATAATTGAAGTTCTTGTACCTTCACTGCTGAAACCTCACGGATTGGCTAGAGAAAACAAAATTCTGCCTAATTATTAATAAAGAACATAATCAGATTCATTGTTTAAATTTTTTCTTTTGAGCAAACTGATAAAAAATGGTTTTTAATATTAATATTCAACTTTAATGAGGATATGGCTAACTAGACATTCTTAAACACTACTGAAAGGAATGTAAATTTATACCTATCTGGAAAACTTCTCTGCAAGAAATATCAAGAGCATTAAGTCTCTAATCTTAAGTCTTAGAAATACCACATTCTGTGCACTTTTCTGATTTTTCAACAATAAACACAGATAACACTTTAAACAGGGAAGGGGAAAAACTTTTACATTATAGGAGCCATACAAATATAAATAAAAGTGCTAGGAGTATTAAAGCTAATAGGAAAAGTTTCAAGGAAGAGGAAGAATTAGAGGTAAATCTTGGAAAAATAGATATTATTAAGAGTAGTAACTACCATTAACTCAGAAAGGGACATGCAAAGATTCTAATCCGTTTCCTAAGAAACACGTCTTCCAGTTTCAGTCCTTTCCTTGCCCCACATCTTTTCTAGAAATGCAGAACGGTCCTGATTACACTCTCCTTGAAACTCACTGTTCCCTTGGTTTCCATTACATTCATACTCTCCTGGTTCTCTTCATTCATCACTGAACAACTCGTTTTTAAATTTCTTTTATATGTAGTCTTTAAATGTAAATGTTTTCCCGGCTTTACTGTCAGTCCACATTTTTATCCTGAGACACGATCCCAGGATAAACTCATCTATTTACATGGATTTTATGTGATAATCCTCTAAAATATGTATTTTGAAACCAGATCTGCCTGTCCTTAGAGTTTCATATTTTATTCCTATGACCTCTTCCATTTGAATGTCTCACATATACCTAGAAATCAACTTGTTCAGTATTATTTAACCTCTCTAATCCTGCTCATCTTCTGAAACTCACTCTCAGTTGGTGATAATTCAATCCACCTATCCCAAGATAGAAACCCTGAGTTATCCTTAACTCTTCCCCTCATCCCAATCACTCAATCTTACTAAATCTACCTCCTAAACATTGCTGAATGTATCACCTTCTTTCCATTCCTACTATTACCCTAATTCAGCGTCCCTTCATCTCAGCATTAGGTTACTCTAAGAAAGAGTCTTCTAATTGCTCTCCTTTTTCCAAAATTTTTTTTTTTTTTTTTTTTTTTTTGAGACAGAGTCTTGCTGTGTCGCCCAGGCTGGAGTGCAATGGCGCAATCTTGGCTCACTGCAACCTCCGCTTCCCGGGTTCAAGCTATTGTCTTGCCTCAGCCTCCCGAGTAGCTGGGATTACAGGTACGTGCCACCACACCCGGCTAATTTTTGTATTTTTAGTAGAGATAGGGTTTCACCATGTTGGTCAGGCTGGTCTCTAACTCCTGACCTCGTGATCCACCCTCCTCGGCCTCCCAAAGTGCTGGGATTACAGGCATGAGACACCACACCTGGCCATTTTTCCAGAATTCTTTCCCAGACTCTAGCCCAGCTTCCAAACACCAATCTGACCTTTTTACTAAACTGGTTAAAACTCTTCAGACTTATTAACGTCTTCAGAATAAAAGTCCCAACTCCTAACACATCACCTCAAGATAGTCCCAATCTGTGTTCCAACAATACCAACCTACATACAGGACCTCCACCCCACAACCAGATAGTCGTTTGCCTCCATCCCCTCTGTTCTTGTTGTTCCTTCTGCTTGTAACCGCCGTCCCACATCTTTCTTGGCTAATTCCAACTAATCTATTTATATTGTTCAGGTGTCACCTCCTCTATGTTCCTATGTCCCATCTACCCAGGACTGGTCAGTTGCTCTCATGTCATCTTATGCAGGACTCCATCGTTTAATCAACAAAATTGTAATTATGTGTCCATACAGGGTGTTTATCCATACTTTACTACACTGTAAGCTGTTTAAAGAGTAGAAATCATGTTTTTATATACATAAACAAGCTCTGATGTTTACTGAAACTAATCAAATGCAGAATGAATTATGAATCATTCCATCTGTTTTTAAACTTCTCTAACTATATAGCCAAGGACTCTAAGACCAAAATTTTAAGTCTTCTACAGCCTATTCACTTGCTATCTGCTCAATTTTTGCCTTGAAAAGAAGGCTCAAATTAAAGATAATGTAATATTAGTCAATGTACCTTGGACCTTCAGCTATAATTTACACTATAAATCTACATTTATAATCCCTACAAAAGTAGGGATGATATTTATTATCTCACTTTCTGACCAAATAAACATATTCATTTGAAAATAAATAATTCATTACAATGTAGAAAGTTTGATCATACATCATCCCAAGTCCAGCATTTTTCATTAGCAGTGATGCCAGTTTCTCTGTAATATTCTTCTAAAGGGGGTTCCAGAAGAATCACATCAAATTTGGGTGTTAGTTCTCTGATGTCAAAGGCTTCTATATCGGCTTGTAAGTACCTATTTGATTAAAGCATTAAAAATGAGGTTTTTAAAAAAATGCTTTTTAAATAAGATTTTCAAGTACCTTAACAGATGGTAATGAAAGAAATGTCTTAGATATCACTAAACATTATTACTAAACACTATTTACAAAGTAATCAGTAACCTAATTACTAAAGGCCTTTTTATTGAGTCTTTTTTTCTTCAGTATAGACTTAAACGATCTACCAGTGATCTTTCTTAAGACATGAACGTAATTAAACTACATAGTAAAAGTCCTATTTTCCCCATGTACACCCAGAATATATTCTTCTCTCAATATTAAAAATCCATACTCAGATGTGTCTCTGAACCCCTTTCCCTTCTCATCTGAATTTTCTAAGGAATATCACATTGTTTTATTCTCAATTGTTCAGTTAGAAAACCCATTTCTCTGTAAGCTTTAAATTCTTCCCCCAAAACATAGTTTTCATATAGTTTTCTTTTATTAGTTTTTTCATTAGTAAAAATGTTTCTATTAAGAGTCTTTTCATGCTACCTAATATAAGTTATTACTGGCCTTTACTGAAAAGTTATTGTCACATAGCATGAAAATATTTTAAATTTAAAATACTTTAAATGTAAATGGGTTTTCGTTTGTTTGTTTGTTTGTTTGTTTGAGACAAGGTCTCACTATATTGCTCAGGCTGAATGCAGTGGCTATTCACAGGCCTGATTATACAGTACTACAATCTCAAACTCCTGGGCTCAAGTGATCTTCCCACCTTAACATCTCATTAAAGGTGTATTTTAGGCCAGGCATGGTGGCTCATGCCTATAATACCAACACTTTGGGAGGCCAGCGTGGGAGGATCAATTGACCCCAGGAGTTTGAGACCAGCCTGGTCTCAAAATAGAGACAGTGAGACCCTGTCTCTATTTAAATAAATAAATAAGTAAATAAGCAAGAAAGTAAAGGTGTATTTTAAAATACGATGAATATTAGAGTATACTTAGACTTCCTCTCCACATACTAAAACATTCTGTGGTGCTTCTAATGACTTACAGAATACAATTTTTTTTTTTTTTTTTTTTTTTTTTTTGAGACAGAGTCTCACTCTGTTGCCAGGCTGGAGTGCAGTGGCACAATCTCGGCTCACTGCAAACTCCACCTCCTGGGTTCAAACTCCACCTCTTCTGCCTCAGCCTCTGCCTCCCGAATAGCTGGGACTACAGGTGTGCGCCACCACACCCAGCTAATTTTTGTATTTTTAATAGAGACAAGGTTTCACCATGTTGGCCAAGACGGTCTTGATCTCTTGATCTAATGATCCGCCCACCTCAGCCTCCCAAAGTGCTGGGATTATAGGTGTGAGCCACCGCACCCGGCCCAAAATACATTTTATCATATCATTAAATGTACAAAACCTTCAAAGCTAAATTCTCCAATTTCAAAGATCTCATATACATTTCTGAGGAAAACATTATTCTGCTTAGCAACGGTTGAAATGAATTATCATATTCCAAATTGTTAAGAATAGTATCTCAGAATGCTAAGCTGTAATTAATATTTGTTTTCTTCCTTTCCTGACTCTAAGTTTTCTAAGCTTCCTTTAACAAACAAATTACTTGACAAGAAGTCATTTAAAGGCATTTTAAGTAAGCTATCAAGAATACGGAGTCTCACTCCGTCACCCAGGCTAAAGTGCAATGGTGCGATCTCGGCTCACTGCAACCTCTGCCTCCTAGATTCAAACGATTCTACTGCCTCAGCCTCTCGAGTAGCTGGGATTACAGGCGTGCACCACCATGCCCAGCTAATTTTTGTATTTTTAGTAGAGACAGGGTTTCAGCATGTTGGGCAGGCTGGTCTCAAACTCCTGACCTCAGGTGATCCACCTGCCTCAGCCTCCCAATGTGCTGGGATTAGAGGGGTGAGCCACCATGCCCGACTTGGATGACTTTTAAGAAGAAAAAATATTTAGAGGCACTTTAAGCAAATTATCTGAAAAGCTGAAAAAAAACTGAGAGCCCCCTCTGAACTCAGCACCAGAGCTTCAAATTAACATTTTTGCTATAACGAAGAAATAGGGCTCAGTACGCTGGCTCATGCCTGTAATCCCAGCATTTTGAGGTTGAGGGGGGCAAATCACCCAAGGTCAGGAGTTTGAGACCAGCCTGAGCAACATGGTGAAACCCCGTCTCTACTAAAAATACAAAAATTAGCCAGGCATGGTGGTGTGTGCCAAAAATTAGCCAGGCATGGTGGTGCGTGCCTGTAATCCTAGCTCTTCAGAAGGCTGAGGCATGAGAATCACTTGAACCCAGGGGGCGGAGGCTGCAGTGAGCCAAGATTGCGCCACTACACTCCACACTCTAGCCTGGACAACAGAGCAAGACTCCATCTCAAAACAAAAAAAGAAAGAAAGAAAAATAGAGCCAGGAGTGATGGCTGAAATGCCTGTAGTCCAGGTGAGGTGGGAGGATTGCTTGAGCCCAGGAGATGGACACAAGCCTGGGCAACATAATGAGCACCAGCCTTTAAAAAACAAAAAGGCAGAGAGAAGAAACAGAGTAATAAAGCATGTTAACATAAGTGCTGAATTTAGGAAGAAGAAAAAAGGTTATAGGATAAACAAACTGATACTTTAAGCCTGAGTTGGGAATAAACAGTAATTGAATAAAAACACTTACATGGGAGGAGTGTTAGATTTAGCTATTAACTCATCCTTTAGCCTGATGAGCTCCCTCAGTTTAGGATATTCTTCAAATCTGTCAGCTAAACCTGAGCAGAAAAAATAGTAAATTCTGAATTCATCTCAACTGAAGTTAATATCAGTAATTCAAAAGTTATGAGCCCTCCCAAGAAAACAAAATAATACACATGCCACTTGACTCATATCTTTTAAGGAAGCTTAACTTCTAATAATTTTAAATAATATGTATGCAGATTTCATAACTAATGACATGCAAGTAAAAACCCAGATGTTCTAAAACCCAGTCCAAGTCAATAAGCCACTTAATATCACATATTTATTAAGTTAAACCATTACCCCTAGCATCCAGTTTAACATTCAGGAAAAAAAAAAAAAAACAACTACCTTTCTTGTGTGATTCTTTTCCCCCTTCCTCTTAGCTAAAAAAAAAAAAAAAATCCTTATCCTAAAGAACCTGATTGTTAAGATTTTTACTTAATTTCTTGGATAGTTATTCAAAGCAAAGAAAATGAGTGTTTCTTTTCTTCCCAAACAGGAAGCACATTTATAACAACATAAATTATATGAACTTCCTAATTTAAAAACCAAAAGTACAAATATTAGTAACTTTAATATCAAAGAAAAAAAGAAAATGATTTTGTAAAGCTTCCTCAGTCAGTGGTTGCAGATCACATTTCAATTAATGAATTTGAAGATTTTATTATAGTCAAATTTCAAGACAGCAGAGTCAGCTTCTAATCACCTATAAAACAGAAGGTACAACTTTTCCTCAATCTGTAATAGTTTTCTAAGTATGTTTTCTTTGCCTTGGGGAGGCAGGTATCCTAAGAGCAGAGCAGTTTATATCTAAATCTGGTTATACAATTTAACCATAAATTTTTATGCTACATCTACATTTTGCTTATAAAAACATTAAAATTAGTTTCTCTACTTCAAGAGAAATGTTGCTTACAAGTAACAAAGGAAAAACTAAATTTGATTATATCAAAAATAGAATGTTTGTGCTACAAAATATACTATCAAGAAAGTCACCCACAGAATGCGAGAAAATATTCGCAAATTATTCATCAGGTTAAGAGACTTGTACTCAGAATATGTAAAAAATACACACCCACACCCACACACAAAGAGAATATATAAAAGACTCTTGTTATTCAATAGTAAAAAGACAGTGAAATAATTTAAAAATACACAAAGTATTAGGATATTTCTCTAAAAAAGATATTTAAATGGCCAATAAGCATAAAAAAAGATGCTCAATATCATTAGTCACTAGGCAAATGCAAATCAAAACCACAGTAAAATACTACTTCACACTTTCTAGGATGGCTACAATAAAAAACAGATAATAGTAAGTGCCAAAGATGTGAAGAAATTGGAACCATCATACGTTGTTAGTAAAAATGTAAAATCGTGCAGCTGCTTGGAAACACAAGAGAGTAGTTGTCAGAAAGGTAAACATATACAATAGCATATTACTTGGCAATTTAAAAACATGAAGTACAGGCACATGCTTCAACATCGATGACCCTTAAAAATATGCTAAGTGAAAGAAGCCAGTGACAAACCACCACACATTGTATAATTTCATTTACAAGAAATGTCCAAAATAGGCAAACGTATAGAAATAGAAAGTAGATCAGCAGATACTTAAGGCTGAGAAGGGGTAGATGAGAGAGAGGAAATGGGGACTGACTGCTAATGGGTACAGGGCTTCCTTAGGGGAGATGCAAATGTTCTAGTATAGATTGTGAAAATAGTTGCACAATTCTGTGGATACATTAAAAAAAAACTCTTTTGAGTGAATTGTACAGTATGTAAGTATTATCTCAATAAATCTGTCTAAAATGCAAGAATAGGCATAATACCAAACTGGAGCCAAAAAGAAACAAACAAAAAAATAGTAATATCGATTATAGAAAAAGAAGGTATACAGGGCCTGGAGCGGTGGCTCACGCCTGTAATCTCAGCACTTTGGGAGGCTGAGGCAGGCAGATCACCTGAGGTCAGGAGTTCCAGACCAGCCTGGCCAACATGGTGAAACCTCGGGAGTTCCAGACCAGCCTGGCCAACATGGTGAAACCTCGTCTCTACTAAAAACACAAAAATTATCTAGGCACGGTGGGGGGTGCCTGTAATCCCAGCTACTTGGGAGGCTGAGGCAGGAGAATCGCTCGAATCTGGGAGGCAGAGGTTGTAGTGAGCCAAGAGAGATCACCCCACTGCACTCCAGCCTGAGCAACACAGCAAGGCTCTGTCTCAAAAAAAAAAAAAAAAGAAAAGAAAAGAAAAAGAAGGTATACCAGAAGCACTGAGAACGAAAAAAAGATGTCAAGCTGGAGAAATAATTTTGTTAGAAATATCCACAAATTGGATAAATTACATGCATGTAATTGAGAGTCAGCAATAGCGTAGTCCAAACAAACCTGACATACCTACATCCCTGATGAAATTCTGAGGTCTATGTCCAGTGTCTACAAAATGTTGGCAGTAATCATTATGGGGATTTAAGCTCTGTGTTCCCTAAATTAAAAAACAAAATTAAATTTGTAACATGCATTGTAATGGCAGATAAATTATCTCTGTACTGTTTTCTATTACAAGGTGATATAAAATGCAATCAATTGATAGATTTAAAAATTAGTAATATTTGAAAATACAACTAAAATTATTACTTTTCAGTAGCTACTGATATTAATATACTGTTACCTCACACTAAATAGCCAAATATCAGAAGACTATTTCATGAGTAATTTTAAATAATCTTTATTTTATAACAATGATCCCTCAATAATTAAAAAACATCTTGAAGACAAACAGGTATTTAAAATCTTTTCAGGTATAGAACTTAAATATGAAGAGTTACAAAATTTGAAAATTATTTATTTTACCTTAAGAAAAGTACTAGAATCTTTGTAAATCTCTTCTTCATATGGCAAATTTTCTTCATCCTGTTGCATTTCTAGTTCATCCTTGAAAAACATAAGATTAAGTAAATATTTTACAAATAGGGGTTATTTCTCTATCACATCCTGATTAAAACTCAACATATTTTATTTCCTTAAGATTTAATAAATGTTTTAAATTAGCATTAAAATCAAACATTGAAGTCTTTGCTTTCCCATTATTAGATCTAGCTAGCTGATTATTTTCATAAAAAAATTTCCTATCATAAATAATTACTGTAACTACTATTTTGCTGATTGATTTGTCTAAAACTATTTATCTCATATACAATACTATAAGTGTTAGAGTCTAGTTTGAGTCATGAAAGATACGACCACCAATGTTGCAATATGAAACTGCTATGCTTAAAGGTCAAAAAGGTTAGAATATCAGCAACTGCATATAGTTCCACCTAAAATAATCACTAACATTTTAATTAATAAAAAAAAAAGTCACAAACATTTAAGTTACATATTATCAGAACTGCAACATATAAGACAATATTCACGAGATTAGGTATTATTTCACTGAACTTTCTAGAGATTTTATTGAAACTATACATTCTTATCTCTATTATATACAATTAACTTGAAAAAACAAAAGTAAGTTTTTTGGACCATAATACTTTCAACTATTTCAACTAAATATTGCAATTACAAGTTAGAAGTTGGGTTTTTCTTGAGCCTCTTTCAGAAATATTTCTACAATGTAGTCCAGGCCATAAATCCTAAAAATATCTTGATTATACTATCCAATATTGTTAACATGGAATAACAACTCCTCAAAAAAGCTTCTCAAAATCTGATCCAAAGCTACTGCAGCTTCTCAAAATCTGATCCAATCAATTACCCAAAGTTTTGTGTTTTTTTTTTTTTTTTTTGAGACAGAGTCACTCTGTTGCCCAGGCTGGAGTGCAGTGGCATGGTCTCAGCTCACTGCAACCTCTGCCTCCCAGGTTCAAGCGATTCTCCTGCCTCAGCCACCTAAGTAGCTGGGATTACAGGCGTGTGCCACCATGCCCAGCTAATTTTTTGTATTTTTAGTAGAGACAGGGTTTCACCATGTTAGCCAGGAGGGTCTTAAACTCCTGACCTCAAGTGATCTGCACATCTTGACCTCCCAAAGTGCTGGGATTACAAGCGTGAGGCACCACACTGGGCCCAAGGTTTATGATACACTTATATCCTCAGTCATCTTTAAGAATATTATTGTCTACTGCTGGCCAGGCATGGTGGCTCACGCCTATAATCCCAGCACTTTGGGAGGCCGAGGCGGGTGGATCATGAGGTCAGGAGTTCGAGACGAGCCTGGCCAATATGGTGAAACCCTGTCTCTACTGAAAATACAAAAATAGCCGGGCGTCGTGGTGCGTGCTTGTAGTCCCAGCTACTTGGGAGGCCGAGACAGAAGAATAGCTTGAAACCAGGAGGCGGAAGTTGCACTGAGCTGAGATCACACCACTGCACTCCAGCCTGGGCGACAGAGTGAGACTCTGTCTCACAAAAAAAAAAAAAAAAAAAAAGAATATTATTACCTAGTTCTTACCAGACATTATGCTAAGTGCCTCATATATATAACCTCATTTAATCCACATAACTCTTGCATTAAGATAAGAAAACTGGCAGGGCACGGTGGCTCACACCTATAATCCCAGCACTTTGGGAGGCCAAGGCAGGTGGATCACCAGGTAAAGAGATCAAGACCATCCTGGCCAACATGGTGAAACCCTGTCTCTACTAAAAATACAAAAATTAGCTGGGCATGGTGGTGCACCAAGTCCCAGCTACTTGGGAGGCTGAGGCAGAAGAATCCCTTAGAATCCAGGAGGCGGAGGTTGCAGTGAGCCGAGATTGTGCCATTACACTCCAGCCTGGCGACAGAGCGAGACTCCGTCACAAAAAAAAAAAAAGGAAAAGAAAAGAAAAAGATAAGAAAACTGATATAATGGTCTTAATGTAACTGGTGATAACATATGCCACTGACAATTATTTTAGCACATCTTAAAATTAGGCTTTCCATCAAATTTGTTTTCCTGGATATGAATCTATCATTTGGATTTATGTTTTCTTTGACCATAAACTTATTTCACTCTCTACTTGCCTTATATTCTTCCATTTTGTCTTCATCTGTCTCTCCTTCATCCAGATACTTACGTTTTGCATTTGGAGCAGAGGTATCATAGGAAGCCCTGAAAAATAAACAGAAATATTACCCATAAATATATACAAGATGTATAAATGCATCTATTAATAATAATAAACAGGTTATAAAAACAGAACAAGACAAATTTTTCCTGATTAAAGAATATCTATCTACGCAGTTTATAAGTCATCCAAAAAGTCAAATAACCTGATTGATAATTCTGTGTTTCATTTTTATCAGAAAGCAACCAAATGAGAAAATAAGCTGCTATAAGGGATATATTGAAAATAAATTTATATAGTATGTATTATTTTAATCTGTTTTGAGCAAAACAGACGTACAAATTGAAAACTAGAATAGCGAAAAAATTTTGAAATGCTTTCTGAACTACCAAATAAATACCACTTTTAGGATAAAGTATATTTTCTTTTATAAAAATTTTTAGGCTGGGCATGGTGGGTCATGCCTGTAATCCCAGCACTTTGGGAGGCCAAGGCAGGCGGATCAAAAAGTCAAGAGATCGAGACCAGCCTGGCCAACATGATGAAACCCCATGTTTACTAAAAATACAAAAATTAGCTGGGGGTGGTGGCGCGCACCTGTAGTCCCAGCTACTGGGGAGGCTGAGGCAGGAGAATTGCTTCAACCCTGGAGGCGGAGGTTGCAGTGAGCCGAGATTGCGCCACTGCACTCAAGCCTGGTGACAGAGCGAGACTCTATTTCCAAAAAAATGTTTAAATATACTTGTTTATTTATAGTATATATGCTAATTCTTAGTCTAACATTCCATTTTCTAAGTACTTTACAAATGGGAACTTACTATCCTCAGAAAATAAATATTTTATAATTAATGAACTGACAATAAAAACCATTGTGTCTAAAATCATTATTTTGATGCTTTTCTTAATACACTGCATACCTACCTAGGGTTATTTATTAAAACAGTAATCCTTTCACATTTTTTTTTTTTTTTTGAGACGGAGTCTCACTCTGTCTCCCAGGCTGCAGTGCAGTGGCACAATCTTGGCTCAGCTCACTACAATCTCCGCCTCCCGGTTTCAAGCAATTCTACTGCCTAAGGCTCCCGAGTAGCGGGGATTACAGGAGCCCGCCACCATGTCTGGCTAATTTTTGTATTTTTAGTAGAGATGGGATTTCACCATGTTGGCCAGACTGGCCTCGAACTCCCGACTTCCTGGGCTCAAGTGATCCACCTGCCTCGGCACAGTGGCTCATATCTGTAATCTCAGCACTTTGGGAGGCCAAGGCAGGTGTACCACTTGAGCCCAGGAGTCAAGGCTGCAGTGAGCCATAATCATGCTACTGTACTCCAGCCTATCCAGCCTAAGCAACAGAGTGAAACCCTGTCTCAAAAAAAAAAAAAAAAAGAATTATCTGACTGACCTGCAAGTTTCTCTTGTTTCAGCAATTTCTCTCTGCTCATCTTTGCTATTTAACACGGCACCAATGCTGTCGGCACTTTCAGCTCCCAACTGAGAAAAGACAAAATCAGAAATTAGATTGCAATGCACTGGATAGCCTTTCTGGGCATTTGTAGCAGCATTTAATACATTAAATACTTAAAAAACAAAAACACCTTAATTCACACACACACACACACACACAAAACAATGAATTAATCAGCTTGCAAGACAAACTGGAAAAACTCTGGAAAAAAACCGCATTAATTAAGATGAGTTTGACAGCTGGCAAAACATTTTATGCTTTCAGTTATACAGCGGCTCCTTGATTTATGATGAGGTTATGTCCTGATAAACCCATTGTAAGTTGAAAGTAAATCTGTTTCAAAATAAACGTTGTAAGTGTGTTTTCAAGTTACAATATTTTCCACTTATGATGGGTTTATCAGAACACAACTCCACCGTAAGTCAATGAGCAGCCTGGATGCCTATCACTCTCAAACCATCATAAAGTCAATTGTTAAGTCAAATGATAGTAAGTCTGGAACCATCTGTATTTGAAAATAAGACACTTTAGCCAATTTCCTGTGAAGCAATACACACGATTTAATATAAAATGAGCATTCCAAATCTGAAAATCCAAAATCCAAAACGCTCCAAAATCTGGAACTTTTTGAGTACTGACATGACATTCAAAGGAAATGGTCACTGAAGCATTCCGATTTTGAGTTTTGGTATTTGGCATGCTCAACCAGTAAGTAATATGCAAATATTCCAAATCCTGAAAAAAATCTGAAATCCAAAACACTTCTGGCCCAAGCATTTCAGATAAGAGATATTCAACCTGCAATAGCAATAACTAAAAAAGGCAGATAAGACAGTGTTTGCACAGGGTTGTGGGTACCATGTTAAACATTTTGTAGGCATCAGCTTATATAACTTATTTATTCTATGCTCTAATAAAAATCGATCCAGTTTTACTCAAGCTAAGTCTTACTATTTATAGACACAAGGCTGAACTTTACTACCTTAAAATGGTAACATAAATTTTGTTTGGCAGTTTGGAAAATTTTGCAAAATACAAACAAATGTAAACAAATAATGGTTATAAGGCTGGCTAAGTAGAGTGCAACCAATTCATAAAAGACTTTAAAAGGTAGAGCCCCTGGCATCTGCTGAGTGTAAAACACTAAACAAATAATTGTCCTATGAATGTATATTGAGTCAAATAGAAGTTTGAATTCAATATTAAGGAGTAAAACGTCTTCTGTGGTAGCAACAAAGAGCTACTTAACATTTTTGAAGATAATACGATAAAAGAAGTTGGCGAAAAGAAGACTTAGAAAGGATACTTGATTTGCCCAAGATCGTAATGCCAGCGGGATAAGGAACAAAGGAACAAATCTGACTCCAAGTTTCCACGGTTTTAGCCATATTCCACAAATCTGTTCATCAGACCATAAAGAGGATAGGTTTCAGAAGTCCATTTACTAAAACCAAGTTTCATTACTGAAAAATAACTGCAAGATGACTAATTACACTCTATGAGCATTGCTCCTATCACTTTTACTGATCTGAATAGTAGAATGGAAAATACAGCCTCGATTTTAAGTAGAACTGTGCACAATCTGTATTTTCTGCATGTGCACTCTACTAATCAGCAAATGTTAACTTACTCATACACAAGAAAGAAGTGAAGGACAATGGTTTAGAAGACAAGCTTTGGGGAGACAAACCTAGGTTCTATTTCCCAGCAGAGAAGTGAGCGACCAGGAGTAAAATTCCTTAACGTATGGAGCCTTTTTCATTACTTGATAAGTGAAGGTAATAATACCTGTTTCAGGAGATTATTGTGACTAACACAGAGTAAGATTTCAAATATTAACTGTGGATGTGACAAGGATACTCTATATAAGATGCAGAATCTAAAATTTACACTCAGGCTACTTCCAGTGTTGTCTTCAGAAAGATGTCAAAGAAAATACTGTAAACGTATTTCATAATGAAACCACAATCTCAAGAATTTGGGGCTGACGACGAAGAAAAGAAAGAAATAGATGACCATTTAATAGTGAAGAGAAATGTAGGGGATAACATGACACTCATCCTGGCGTGAACATGCCAGACACTCGGTGGGAGTTCCACAAAGCTTAAAGGCTAATCCTGGCATTCGGTTTAGCACCACAAAGACCGCGGAAGGAACTGGAAAAACATTCGGGACACCGCGAAAATTGAGAACTACAAAGGCAGAACCAGGGATCAAGATCGCAGGACCAGAAAGGCCTTAACAGCGGCAGGTAGAGAAGGGACAGAAAAAGGCGGGGTGTGGAGGGAGGAGGCGGCCGCGCACTCGCATTCTCGATCCCTCCCACAGGGGACACCAGGGCCGCGGACCTGCTGCGCGAGGAGCTGTCGCCGTAACTTCTGCCGCTCCCGGATCTCCTGCAAGCGGCTATCCATGTTCCAACTCCGGCTTTTCACTATCCCGAGTACTTGTCAATCTCCAGTGAACTCTTATCCAACCTTTCTTCCGAGTCTGTGGAACAAAATTCACCGGGAGCTTACGAACAGAGTATCCTCATAGCTTTCCTCAGTAGAGACTTCCGGCGCGGCCGGAATTGGCTCGCTTGGCCCGGAAGTCCCGCCTCCTTCTGGACGCTTGCTATGTGACGCCACTTGGAAGGGACCCAGTAAGGGATCTGTTGCGCCACAGGGGTCTCCAGGGCCCTCGCAGGTTGGGGTGGTCTGAGCTAGTCTGAAGGAGGACAGTCAGCTGACTTCTCCTTTATCTCTCTTTCCCAGGATAGCAGGTTCCCTTGGTGTATTACAGTTTCTGAAGTGTTGATTCCCTTTTCAATTGATTCCACAGATGACAGTCCTGACGTTTAAAAAATTGCCAGATAACCTTTAATTTTTTTTTTTTTAACAGAACACAAACTTAAGCCAGATTGCCTAGGATTGAACCTTGGCCTCTCACTTCCTAGACGAGTGGCCTTGGCTAGTTAACCACCTTCGTGAGCCTCAGTTTTGTCATCTGTAAAATGGGAGTCATAAGTGTCTACCTCACAGAGCTGTGATTGAAAGGATAAATAGCACCTTGCACATAGCGGTGTAGAAGTGCTTGTTATTGTTAATATTTTATTTACCTTCACGCAGGTAACAGCCACAACATCTGCCCACTCTTCCCCACACCTTACTGTCCCTTGAAATGTTTCCCATTTTACTATAGTATGCATTTTTTGGCTTCTTCCCTTTAGGGAAATGAGTATGTGATAGTAAAGCGTGTCTTGGTTTATGTCCTAGGAGTCAGAAGCTAAGAGACTCCTTTTTGTGCTTGTACATTTGTCTTAACTGAAAATAACCCAAGGATAAGGAAACAAATAGCTTCCTGAAATTACTCGGATTGCGGGGGTGAGGGGTGAGGGCTGGGGGGTGGTGATTCTGTCT
This sequence comes from Homo sapiens, assembly GCF_000001405.40. Taxonomy (NCBI): domain Eukaryota; kingdom Metazoa; phylum Chordata; class Mammalia; order Primates; family Hominidae; genus Homo; species Homo sapiens. The sequence continues at coordinate 118,684,547 of NC_000004.12, read as the reverse complement.
TCATAGGATGGCAGCAAAGGCCAAAGTCTTATTTGAGTTATTACCATTATTATTCACCACACTTGCCATCTTATTTCAAGCCTACAGTGGCGGAAGTGGAGTAAGACATCATGTTGCCTCAAGTTTAATTGGAAATCGCGGTAAGTACTTAACAAAATTAGTAATAAGTCTGTTCTTTCAGAGTAGATTTAATTTTCAGAAATAATATTAAGTCATCCAGATCAAAACCAGTTGAGTCAGGCTGGGCCAAAAGTGGGCAAGACTAGATTCTACTTAGTCATGCCCACTTTTATAGAAATAATTATAATGTATTTCCGAAGAACTAGGTCTGAAAGACAATTTTGAACAAGTAGTCCTAAACAATTCCTTGAGTAATGTCAGCACTACTTGGATACTGTAAAATATTTATGTCCATATGAGTTAAAGTGTATTTCTTTAAAAATCAGTTGTATTATCTGGCAATCATTTAAGTTGAATACTGATTTAAATTTTACCAATGGTGAGAATAGGCAATTATTCACTTAAATATCTGTTGATATTGATTGAGCATTTTATATGGCAAGCACTGTGATAGGCCCTAGAGTCTATAAAGTCTGTCAAAGATTAAAAACTAAAGTCGGTTTTTCTTTATGAGTTTACTGTCTAATGGAGGATTTTTCTTTTTCCTGATAAGTTGCTATGCAGGTTACTTGCTTGTAATCTTTGAACCCCATACTCACCTACCCTCTGCTTCGAGATGATGGCTAGGCAGGGAGTCCACAAACTACATTTCCCAGCCTTCCTTGTTAGATGGCTTCCTGTAAGACTCTGCCCACAGGAGGCACAGGCAGGAAATCAAAAGGTGGAACATGGGAAAGCTATTGTCCATTTATTTTACTCTCTGCTTCTGGCATCTAGAGCGATGACTATGTCCCTTACAAAGTCTAGAGCCAGTTGGAGCAGCCCCTCCTTTCCTTACCTTAAGAAAGTGACACCCTTAACAGTGAGTGAGTTTGCTCTTGTGCTATGATACTACTACTTCTACCTTCTGTTCCACCAGCTCAAGGACTGGTAGCCATCCTGCAGTTTAAAATTTCTGATTTAATCTTACTTCTCCCTTTTTGCTCTTCTAGCCTTCAATATCTGCTTAACTATTTCTCCATAGTGAATGGCGTCTGTTTAAAATACTTTTAATTATTTGTTTTCCTGCCTGGAACTGTACTGATGCAGATATGTACTTCCATGTAATATTTACAAAACTGTTGGAGTTGGGCAGAGGGTTGTTGCAGTTTGTACAAAGAAGGGGATATAATTTTGAAATCTCTCTCCCAACTAATGAATTTTAAAACACCAGACCACATCAGCATACTTGTAGAGAATTTTACAAGCCCATCAGTAACATCTGTTCATTATGACAACATAAAGGCCACTAGGGGGTGTGTGTGGCAGGAAGAGGGGGAAGAAATTTCGGAAGTCCTCACATAAAATCCATACTTTTTGAAGAAGCAATTTACTTCTAGGCACTTAATTTAAGGAAGTAAAGAGAGATCCACATTATAACTTATGCATCTCTCCCCAAGCTCCTGGAGACTGACTCCTCCAAACCTATACTCTACAACTCATGATGCTCCCCAACTTATGATGGGGCTATGTCCCAATAAATCCATTGTAAGTCAAAAAATCGTTAGGTGGGCCAGGCGCAGTGGCTTACGCCTGTAATCCCAGCACTTTGGGAGGCCAAGGCCAGCGAATCAACAGAGATCAGGAGGTCAGCCTGGCCAACATGGTGAAACCCCATCTCTACTAAAAATAAAAAAATTAGCCAGGCGAGGTGTTGGGCGCCTGTAATCCCAGCTACTTGGGAGGCTGAGGCAGGCGAATCGCTTGAACTGGGGACGCGGACGCTGCAGTGAGCTGAAATGGCGCCATTGCACTCCAGCCTGGGCAGCAGGAGCGAAACTGCATCTCAAAAAAAAAAAAAAAAAAAAAAATCGTAAGTGGAACTTATGTTAGTTAGGGACTGCCTGTGTAGCTAGTTGCCTATTATACATCTTACTAGAATGCCCTCCACAATCTCTTCTATGGTTTACATAGCTAGTAGCTACCGTACTAGTCAGCACATGTCTAGGTTCGAGAGTATAAATACCTAAACCACTTAGCATTTTATACAATACTTTGCTGCCTCACTGATACAGTTCGAATATAAGTCCCCGCCCAATCTTACGTTGAATTGCAATCCCCAGTTTGGAGGTGGAGGCTGGCAGTAGGTTTTTGTCTCCTCCAAAAATTCATTTTGAAACTTAATCCCCAATACAACAATATTGGGAGGTGTGGTGTATGGAAGGTGATTGAGTTATAACCGGCTCTGCCCTCATGAATGGGATTAGGTACTCTTATAAAAAGGGTTTGGCAGAGAGAGTTCCTCTTCTGCCCTTCTACCCTCTACCATGTAGAATAGCATTCCTCCCCTCTGGAGGTTGCAGCATTCAAGATGCCATCTTGAAAGCAGAAACTGGACCTTCACCAGACAACAAACCTGCTGGCAACTTGATCCTGGACTTCCCAGACTCCAAAACTGTTAGAAATACGTTTCTGTTCTCCATAAATTACCCAGTCTGTGGTATTTTATTACAGCAGCACAACTGGACTAAGACAATCTCAAACAACATGAATAAAACCTAAATTTATCATCCACTAAAAAAAATCAATTTCACTCCTCTGGCATTTCCTATTTCAGAAAATAGGGTCAATATCCACCCATTTTCCTAAACAAGAAGCATTCCACCTCTCCTTCAGCCTCCATATCTGCTCTGTGACTGTAGTTCTGCTTCTGGTTGCACCACTGACACATACCATTCTTCATTTCTATAACCACAACCTGTGGATGACATGTATTCTGATTCGTATCCTAATTGTCTTATCTTTTTCCAGTCTATCCAATTTTTCCTAGATATTTGTGGAAAATTGTAATTTTATCATTTTAAACTGTGCTCAAAATTTTTTTATATTTCCTCAATATCTAGGACAGCACTATCCAATAAAACTTTCTGTAATAATAGAAATGTCCTACTAACATTTATTTCTATACTAATCAATATGGTAGCCACCGGCCATATGTGTCTACAGAACACTTAAAATGTGGCTAGTGTATTATTATTTTAAAATAAAGATTACTGAATCTTTAATTGTAATTAATTAAATGTAATAAGTTGTATTTGGCTAGTAGCTACCATATTAGATAGCATATGTCTGGGTTCAAGGGGATAAATTCCTAAACCACTTAGCATTTTATACAATAATTTGCTACCTCACTAATAGAGTTTAAATGTATGTCCCCACCAAATCTCATGTTGAATTGTAATCCCCAATGTTGGAGGTAGGGCCTGGTGGTAGGTGTTTGGATCATGGGAGCAGATCCCTCATGAATGGCTTGGGCCATTCCCTTGGTAATAAGAACTCTCTATCTGAGTTCATTTGAGATCATGTGGTTTAAAAGTGTGTGGCACCTCCCCTTGCCCCACTCTCTGTCTCTCTTGCTCCTCCTCTGGCTATGTGACATGCCTGCTCACTCTTTGCCTTTGCCATGGTTGTACGCTTCCTGAGGCTTCCCCAGAAGCCAAGCAGATGCCAAAATCATGCTTCCTGTACAGCCTGAAGAACATAAGCCAGTTAAACCTCTTCTCTTTATATATTATTCCTTATAACAATGCAAGAATGGCCTAAAACACTCAGCCTGCTCTATTCTCCTTTATCTACCCAATCTTATAAGCACATTAAGGTTTTGTCTTTTTTCCTAAACATGGCTTTTTTTCTTGTACTTGTTGTAAATTTATAATTGAGTAAGAGAAAATTCTCCTACAATGAAGAGATGGGCTCCAAAGTGACTTTTCTAAAAATACATTTTGTAAGCAGAAAGTTTTTATCAGGCATACACATAAGATAAAATGAGTGTCAGAATCCGGTGATAAGTTCTGTTTTCTTCCAGTGCCTTGTGAAGAATGGACACTCAGTAGATGCTTATTGATGAACCTGTTGGTTGAGGATAACTCGCTAACTTTTCTGAGCTTTGTTGGAAAAACTGTGAGTACCTATGTTGGGTAGAAATTGGAAGACAGCCCCTAGCATTTTACATCATCCTTGGAGCTTTATTTATAGTCATTAAATGCAGAAGACTCCCCAGTTCATGAATTTATTGTGCTCAACAGGACAACTGCTGAGGTCTAGTGCATGTGTGGCACAAGAAAATGTTTATCAAGCCTCATATGTCAAATTAACGAACTACATAAGAAACAGAAATGAAGATTGTTTTCTCATCACTTGTCAATACATTTTTAAAGGATACTGCGATTACATAGAAATAATTTTATTTTATTTATTTATTTATTTTGAGACGGAGTTTCGCTGTTGTCGCCCAGGCTGGAGTGCAATGGCACGATATCGGCTCACTGCAACCTCCGCCTCCCAGGTTCAAGCAATTCTCCTGCCTCAGCCTCCCAAGTAGCTGGAATTACAGGCACCAGCCACCACGCCTGGCTAATTTTTATATTTTTAGTAGAGATGGGGTTTCACCACGTTGGCTAGGCTGGTCTCAAACTCCTGACCTCAGGTGATCTGCCCGCCTCAGCCTCCCAAAGTGCTGGGATTATAGGTGTGAGCCACCGCACCCAGCCATGTAAAAATAATTTTAAAGGCTTGATTTTCTGGAACGTAAAGTAAGAAGAGGTATATTTCACAGCCTGTATATCAATGTCAAATGGAAATGTGGAGAATTGAATTGGATTGAATTATTTTGGGAATTTGCACCAAACATCCCTGTTGGTTTCTTCAAAATGACAAAAACTGTAAGGAAAGTGAGAAATGACAAGGTAAATAGAATAAGATAATACAAAAATGTTACAAGTAATGTCAATACATTTAACTGCATACATGAGAAAATATTTAAAGGTTGATTAGTGTAACATGAGTTTGCTCTATTAATTGAGAAAGTTCAGTTCTGTAGTAGAGCACAGAATGAGGTGGATTAATCCCATAGGATGTGCTAAGCACAGATAATGAGTAAGCGAGTAGCTTGTGAGACATAGGTAGAATTCATAATATACTAAATATAGACTGATATATGTACTATATTATTATATTTACCATATTACTGTATTATTGTATTTATTATATTTACTATATTAAATATATTTACTATATTACTATATTATTTATAGATGGAAAGGGATGGAAAGAACCAGCCACTTATACCAGCCACTTATGGTCCTACTCTGGGCCCACATGTGCTCTACCTAAGAAATCCTTATAGTACCCATAGCTTTTTGCAGGCTGATTGACAAGTTATGGCTGTGGCCAGGCGTACTTGTCACTGTCTCTCTTTAATAGAGCAAGTGTGTATCATTGGCCCCAAGCACCTTCTGTCTGTTGACCTGGCTCAAACTTCAATCTGACCATCAGTGAAGAAGGCTGATGCCGCAGATGGAGAGAGACACAGGATGTATGAATGTAGCATAACTCAGGATTCACCTCGTGTGGTCCTTCCCACTTGAACCCTATCCTAAGTGTGAAAGTTACCCCATCGCTTTCCTCTTGCTTCAGATTATGTGCTTTAAAGTGATTTAATAAACTATGCGATTCAAACATCTTAATTTGATCTTTGAGCCTGTTTTGTGACTTCCGGGATAGCTTGCCTTGTAGTGTACTTGTAGGTCACCATTGCATCAAGGTAATTTCTCATGACAACTACAAAAAACTTAGAAAATAAGAACATAGCATTGTATAGCATAAAGGAAAGCAATCTGAAGAGGAGAAAGACAGGTAGTCACAAATTGTGTCATTAATAGACTGAAAGACCAAAAAAGTAAAGGACAAACCAAAAGACAGTGTGGAGAAGATTTTTTTCTAAATTGATTTATAGAAAAAGGAATGAGACAAGAAAGAAAGACATGGTTTGGGCAATGTATAAATGTCATTGATCCCAATTCTACTTTATTTCTGAGACCAAAATAACAGTTTCAGAGGTGACTACCACAAGGTCCAACAAGTGGACTCATCCCTGAATTTCTTCCTCCTCCTCCTTCTTTCTTCTTCCTCCTCCTCCTCTTCTTTCTTTCCTTCTTTCCTTTCCTCTTTCTCTCTCTTTCTTTTTCTTTCTTTCTTCCTTTCTTTCTCTCTCTCTTTCTCTCTATTTCTTTCTTTCTGTGTCTCTCTCTTTCTTTTTCTTTTTTTCTTTCCTTTTCTTTCTTCTTTTTTTTTTTCCTCAAAAAGAATCTCTTGCTCTGCTGCCCAGGCTGGAGTACAGTGGTGTGATCACAGCTCACTATAATCTCAAACTCCTGGGCTCAAGTAATCCTCTCACTTCAGCCTCCCAAGTAGCTAGGACAACAGGTGCACATCACCACACCCAGCTAATTTTTTATTTTATTTTTTCTAGAGACAGGGGTCTCACTATGTGATGCAGGATGATCTCAAACTCCCTGGCCTCAAGCGATCCTCCTGCCTTGGTCTCCTAAAGTGCTGGGATTACAGGTATGAGCCACTGCACCTGGCCTATCCTGAATTTTTTTAATTCATGCTACATAGCATTACAAGTTTGTAAAAAAAAAAAAAAGTTTACGACATTTTTAAAGACAGAAAAGTAATAGGCTTTAAAAATACCTATAACTAGGAAGGAAATGCATATAAAATACTACTTTCAATAAAAGTTTTATTATTTATATAAAATTACTGAAACATTCCCTGTAAATTTATTCCTATCTAAAAAAATATTAATAATGCACCTATCTTAAATATTTGTGGGATAAAAAATTTAGTAAAATGAAATATACCTTTAAAATGAAAGTAGGCCAGGCATGGTGGCTTACACCTGTAATCCCAGTACTTTGGGAGGCCGAGGCAGGTGGATCACCTGAGGTCAGGAGTTCGAGACCAGCCTGGCCAACATGGCAAAACCCCATCTCTACTAAAAATACAAAAGTTAGCTGGGGATGGTGGCGTGTACCTGTTATCCCAGCTACTCGGGAGACTGAGGCAGGAGAATTGCTTGAACCCAGGAGGTGGAGGTTGCAGTGAGCTGAAATTGTGCCACTGCACTCATTCCAGCCTGGCCAAAAGAGCAAAACTCCGTCTCAAAAAAAAAAAAAAAAAAAAAAAAAAAAAAAAGAAAAGAAAAAAAGGTAATTTATTTGTAATTTGTAATTTATCTCTTTTGTAATTTATTTTCTTTAGCAGGTCACTGTATCTCTATGCATTACAGAAAATGGCTAGTTAAAAACTTGTCAAGGTAAGTGAAATAGCTGTATGTATAAGTTGCTTGTAGGGATCTCTCTAATAAGTTACCATACTTACATAAGAAATGAAATTGTTTATCAGGCAAATACTTCTTGGCATTAACTTTGTGGTGTTTAAAGAATATGAAATTCTGTGATGTAGCTTATTCAAACTGTCTGAATACTTTAACACTGTGTTTTTAGTTTGTTTGTTTTTACAACTTAATTCTTTCCCTGAAGTTGAGTATTTTCTCCCTAAGTTAAGTTTGAAATGGTAAAAACAATCAGAAAAAGGAAGTGCATTCTATGATGAATCAAAAATAGAGCTTGCATTCAAAGACACTGAAAATATAATATCATTAAGTCCTACTTATTTTTATTAATGATATGTTTGGGATTTTAAATATTTATATCATTTTATAACCCAGAACAATAAAAGATCTGGTCTAAAAATTTACAAACTACTGTTTGTAAATGGTAAACTTTGTGCCATTAAAAATATGTTATTATAAATTAGAAAATTACTAAAATTTTTTTTTACTTTATACTAGATGACCATAAAAATGGATTTAGTTGTATACATTCTTTAGAAGTATGTCACATTATTATAGCCAATACAAATACCATAATTTTTACCTCAAAGAATTAAGTTTTGAGTGAATATGAAAGAGAATCTTTGTACATATGCTCAGGAGAAAGATAATAAAACTAATTATGGCAAACACACTAAATCTGTTTCAGATTATGAATGAGTGCATCCAAAAGTAATCACTGGAATTGCTGTTCATTGTGGGCTTCCCAGCATTCTCCTCTGGGCATTTATATCAAATAACTTATGAGTGATGCAGAATTAGTATTCACCGGTCAGACATTGATTATTTAGAATTCCCTCTGATTTGAATTACATCTACTGTTTTTTTCTCCCATCCATTTATGGGTCAAATGTACAATAAGCCAAAACATGTTGATTCTGGTGAAATTTAGCAGAGAAAAACAGCTTCACCTAGTGGCCACAGAAACTCGAAAAGCTTTACTGAAAAGAAATAAATTGGATATCTTCTCATCCTGGATATGAACTGGATTCCAACTTAACCTTCCAACTGTTTTGCTGTTTCTCTGAAGTCTGAACCTTGTGTATGGCAATACTTATCTCAAGCAAAAATATAGTTTCACATTGGTAGTACTGTATTCAGGAAAACTGGAAATTGTACTATGAAGGAGCACTTCTACCACATCCGTATCTAAGTCTACATTCACAGCTGCTGGAAACAGATATTGTATTCATACTATGGTGGGAAACACATAATGTATGTATGTATACACATGTGTGCACACATATATATGCTAGCGTATAATCTGGAAAAATTTTGCTAAGATATATAGGAAGAGAACCTTTTTATTCAGAATATTGAACAAGTAGGACTCATAGTGTAAAATTAAGAAAAATTATTTTTCTTCTACTGCCCTTTCTATGGATTTGGTTCTTCCTCTTCCCCTGAATGTAAACTTAAGCAGTCTTCTATGCATTTTGTGTTCATTCCTAAATATTAGAAATAGTTATTTGATTATTTAGCCTTTAGTCTCAGTTTAATAACCAAAATATGAGGTTAAAATTTAATTCTGGCTACAGAATTAAGGCTTCTCTCTCCTGCCGCACTTCCAGGCCAGTTGCAGGCATGATACCAGCAGTCTGGGAGGTAGAGACAAGAGGACACATCTCTGCTGCTCCCTTCTTTCCCCATGGTTATGCGCCAACTTTGGTTTCACCAGGCCTACAGTGCTTCCCAGGTTTGGAGTGTGGGGAAGGAGAAGATTTAATGGAAGCAGCTTAAGGGAAATGCTCAAACTAAACTGATACTTTCTTCATGATCTAGCATTGAAACTTTCTGGACTTGACAGATATTTAAAATTAACTCTTTTTCTCATTAACATTTTCATGGGTTCTTCCAAGATCCACATTACCCAACCTGTGGGTTCCCATGACAAGGATTAAGGCATCTCTGTTTCTTCTGGACCTTTATTTACCTGGATTCTTTCTCTAGGGACTGTTTACCCTTATGGGCCATCCTTTTGAGCATAACCTAACAAGATTCATGCTGGCTTTAAGTGAGTGGTCCACATTTGGTTCATGGGAAAACCACATAGTTTGTCCCCAGCAAACCTGGAAGTAATATTTATTTTACTGCTGGAATTAAGGAAAACCAAAAATCCTATTACAAAATGGCTCCTCTAAACATTCACATTACCCCTTTTTGTCTCTACCCCCTGAGGAACTAACCAACTCTAGCTCTTTGGATTTTCCAAATGAGAGGTCAACACATCGATGTCTCCAAGACCTTAAGTTCTTCTAGTGGTCTCTTTAAGCTTCCTCCCTTGAATTATGGTGAAAAGGGACTGCCTGCTACCCCCTCCTCTTGAGGAGAGGGGTGGTATCACAGCCTAACAATAATTTCCAAAAATTTTCTCCTCCAGCTCTAATGCTTAACCAGTTTAGACTTTCAAAGTGGATAATGTAATTTAAAGCCTTACAGCTAGTTATGCTCTACTTCTTCTATAAGTCCTGCAACCAGGTGGTCTCAATCCTCACTTGCGAATACTGCATTTACTCACCTTGTGCCCTAGCCAAAACTTCCACAACAAATTCTGTGGTGCATTTAAGTGAAAGATGTTATTTGATTGATAGAGAGATAGATAGATAGATACAGATATAGATATAGATATGTATTAGAACCATGTCAAATGGTTAACTTTTTTAAAAAGGTAAATTTTTTATATTGAGATAATTATAGATTCTCATACACTCGTAAGAAATAACACAGAAAGATCCCATGTAGCCTTTATCCAGTTTCCCCAGTGATAATATCTTGCAAAACTATAGTCCAATATCACAACCAAGATACTGGCATTGATAGATCACTTCCATCACCACAAACATCCCTCATGTTGCCCTTTTATAGCCACACTCATTTCCCTCCTGCTGCCACCCTCTCCTTTACCCATAACCACTTATCTGTTCTCTATTTTTGTAATTTTATCATTTCAAGAATACTGTAGAAATGGAATAATACAGTATGTATTTTAGGGCTTATCTTTTCTACACTCGGCATGATTCTCTGGAGATTCATCCAGGTTGTTGCATGTATCAATAGTTCATTCCTTTTTTACTGCTGAACAGTATTCCATTGTATGTATGTACCATAGTTTAACTATTTGCTCAATGAAAGACATATATTAATAGTTTCCAGTTTTTGCTGTTATGAATAAAGCTACTATAAACATTCATGTACAGGTTTTTGTATTAATGCAAGTCTTCATTTCTTTGGAAGAGATGACTGAAGTTCAATTACTGGGTTACGTGGTAGTTGCATATTTCTTTTTTAAAGAAACTGCCAAACTGTTTTTCAGAGCATCTGTATCATTTTATATTCTCACCAGCAACGTATCAATGACCTAGTTTCTCTACATCCTTTCTAGCCTTAATTGTCTTTGTTTTTTTATTTTACTTTGTTTGTTTGTTTTGAGACAGGGTCTTTCTCTGTTGCCCAGGCTGGAATTCAGTAGTGTAATCAAGGCTCACTGAAGCCTGACCTCCCGGCTGAAGTGAACTGCCCACCTCAGTGCTGGAAGTAGGGTGGGGCGTCAGCCACCAGTAGCAGGACTGTAGGCATCTGCCACCATGCCTGGCTGATTTCTCTTTTTTCTTTTTGCAGAGATGGGGTTTTACTATGTTGGAGAAGCTGGTCTCAAACTCCTGGGCTCAAGTCATCCTCCCGCCTCAGCCTCCCAAAGTGCTGAGATTACAGACGTGTGCCTGGCCTATTTTACTCGTTTTAATAGATGTAAGTTTGTTTCAATTTAGGATTTTTAAGACAGAGAGCACACTTTCAATGATTAGGAGAGACAAAGATGGAAATAAAGATTTTATTACTTACAGGTTGAGGGCTCATGACACTCCTGGTGGCCATATACGCAGAGGTCAGGGAGAGAAAGGGACCTGTGGGCCAGCACCCTTATTGGGTCCAGAGAGCTATCCAAACAAGTTTCCAGCAGGGAATTTAATTGGTGGATTTAAAGCAAGCAGGCATGAGTTCCAGGGGGCCACACTGACTGAGGTATGTATGTATGTACCATAGTTTAACTATTTGCTCAATGAAAGACATATATTAATAGTTTCCAGTTTTTGCTGTTATGAATAAAGCTACTATAAACATTCATGTACAGGTTTTTGTATTAATGCAAGTCTTCATTTCTTTGGAAGAGATGACTGAAGTTCAATTACTGGGTTACATGGTAGTTGCATATTTCTTTTTTGCACACTGACAGAGAGGTAGTCACTATGGCATGTCTGAATAGTTCGTTCCGTGTGTGAGTATCAGCAGGGCCAGTCAAGCAGCCTGCATCTAGCCACCACCTAGTGAAGTAGTCACCAGAGAGCAGTTGTATAAGGCAGATATCTGGATCCACCACATTGAGGAACTGGGGGAAGGGAGCACCAAACCGAAAACTGTGTCCAAGGTGACGGAGTCCTGCCTCTGGTGTGAGAAAGCCCAGCTTATATTTAAAGTGGATGCCAAAGCAATATAAAATTATAGGAATTCATTACCAAACTGATAGCTTGTGGTTTTAATTTGCATTTCCCCAATGAATAATGATGTTGAGCATCATTTCATGTGTTTATTTGGCATCTGTGTTACTGTGTGCATGAAATATGTCTTCATGTCTTTTGTCCATGTTCTAATTGGATTTTCTCATACTGTTGAGTTTTGAAAATTTTTTATATATTCCATATACTAGTCCTTTGTTGGATATGTGGTTTTCAAGTATTTTCTCCCAGTCCGTAGCTTACCTTTTTGCCCTCTTAACAGAGTCTTTCACAAAATGTGTTTTTTTTTTCTTTTTTTTTGAAACAGAGTCTCAGTCTGTCACCCAAGCTGGAGTGCAGTGGTGTGATCTTGGCTCACTGCAACCTCCACTTCCCGGGTTCAAGTAATTCTCCTGCTTCAGCCTTCCGAGTAGCTGGGATTACAGGCTCCCACCACCACAACTGGCTAATTTTTGTATTTTTAGAAGAGACAGGGTTTCACCATGTTGGCCAGGCTGGTCTCAAACTCCTGACTTCAGGAGATCTGCCCACCTCAGCCTCCCAAAGTGCTGGGTTTACAGGGGGAGCCACCACGCCCAGCCTCACGGAATGAGTTTTAATTTTGATGAAGTTTAGGTTTTACTTTTTGAATCATGCATTTGGTATGACATAATAGTTAACATTTTATGTGTGGAAATATGTGCATTCTCTCATTCCCTCTCCTCCCATGTCCAATCCATTGGCAGGTCCTGTCAGCACCATCTCCAAGATATAACCTAAATGTGTGTACCTTTCTCCATTTTTATAGCTATCACCAAGCTTCAAACCACCATCATCTCTCACTCAGTTGGTCTCCCTTATGTCATGTGACCTCATAACTTAAAATCTCCCAAAGGTTTCCCATTCACACTTAAAATAAAATCCAAACTCTACCGCAGTCTACAAGAACCTGCCCCATCTGGACTCACCCTGGTGCACTAACTCCCACCTCCCTCCATCTCACTGTGATGCACTAAACTACAGCTACACTCCTTTCTGTTTGTTTATATTCTCACCCAACTCAAACAACCAGCTCCCTCTCACTTTGGGTCCTTGTATATGCAGGCCCCTCCCCAATGTCTGCAGGACTAGCTTCTCCTCATTCAGGATTCAGTTCAAATGTCAACCTCCCCAAGAAGCCTTCACTCATCACCATATGTAAAGTAGCTTATCTTTCTCATCACTTTGTATTATGACTCTTTTATTTTTATATAGCACTTTATTAGCTGAAGTTATTTATTTGTTTACTCTGCATACCCCTAGTCAAATGTATGCGCACCCATATTTTTCTAGCCACATTCATTAGACCAATGCAGCAGAGAAGAAAAGCCTCAATAATTATTATGACATGGCATGTTAGGATACCAAGTAAATTGCATTTGTAAAATGTGATTTTCTGTTGGTGTTCACTTCTGCTCTACTGACATTTGGTAAGTATTATTGACTGACTGACTAACTAATGTGGTCATTAGTCTTCATAAAGAAAGGCTCTCTACAAAAATGGAGCGATGCCCTTTTTCTGGCATTTAATACGTAAGAAATTGCCTCTGATGGAAACCAGAGTTGCCTGATTACTATCAGCACAGGAGAAATGTATTAATGTGCCTTTCTAGTAACAGGTTTTTAGAAAGTCAAATATAAACAAATCTGTCTGTTTGTGTGTGTGCATGTGGTGGTGGGGAGGGAAGAGAAAAGGAGGGGGAGAGACAGAGAAATAAGAACCAAGTTTATTATACTGTATTCAGGGGGAAAAAAATTTCCCAAGGTCCTAACAGAAGAGCAAAGTGCCACTGTCAATAGCCTCAGTAGTGTTAGGGTTGCTTTTATTTATTTATTTATTTATTTATTTATTTATTTACTTACTTATTTATTTTTCCTTTTTTTTTCTTTTTCTTTTTTTCTTTTTTTTTTCTTTCCTTTTTTTTTTTTTTTTTTTTTTTTTGGACAGAGTCTCACACTGTCGCCGGGGCTGGAGTGCATTGGCGCAATCTCGATTCACTGCAACCTCTGCCTCCCAAGTTCAAGTGATTCTCCTGCCTCAGCCGCCCAAGTAGCTGGGATTACAGGTGTCTGCCACCATGCCTAGCTAATTTTTTTGTATTTTTAGTAGAGATGAAGTTTCACTATGTTGGCCAGGCTGGTCTCAAACTCCTGACCTCGTGATCCACCCACCTTGGCCTCCCAAAGTGCTGGGATTACAGGCGTGAGCCACCGCCCCTGGCCAGGATTGCTTTTATAGCCAGTCTTCAGGTGCCCACTGTAGGAACAATGTCATTTAACCCTCGGGATTATTCTGTGCCAAATCTGGATAATGACTAATATTCAACACAGATATTCTCAGCTCAGAAGAGCAATTAGCAAATTCATAAATTAAGTGCTTGCTTCCTTTTTAGTCAAATACAAACGTTTGTTAAAAGATATTATTTTGCTTTACACTTTTTCTCTCAGAAATAAACAGATGCTTGAATTCCCACAGTGCTGCTTGAGCCTCACACCATGTCATCCTGCCAGGCATCCAGATCCAGTTCTAGAGTTTCACATGATCATGAGTGTTGGTTAATAAGTCAATGTGAACTGGGAGGGGAGATTTTTCAGGAGTGCCACAGGGCTCTCCCTTTAATCACATACACTCCCTGCTTTCATTGGAAAGTGTACAATGATGTCAGAGTGCCCCAGAATGGAGCTAGTTGGAAGACTGCCATCATAGGGATGCCTTAGTGAATTAATAAGGTTTTAATTTCTGGCTTTCAACTTTGTAGATGTAAAAGTTGATTTATCAATATGTGAGAAAGGATGAATCTTTCTGAAGGTTATGTCATCACACTCACTAAGCACACAGAGAATAATGTCTAGAATCTGAGTGCCATGTTATCAAATTATACTGAGACTCTTGCAGTCACATGGGCTGATATGTAAGCATTGTCATGCCTAGTACAGACTCTCCCTGCAGATGAAATTATATGGGATGCTAAATTATAATCAGAACAATGTTTGGTGAGCCAAAACTACAACAAGGGAAGCTAATTGGATGAATTTATAAAAATATGCCTCAGCCAAAATAGCTTAATTCAGTCTCCCTTATCATAAGGATAATCTTGCCTAAAGGGACAGTAGTATTAAAGACACTAGGAATAACCTCTGTACTTTGGACAGTAGACCTGCATAGCCCCTTAGGCCTCAATGAAGTCTTATGCAAGACCAGAAGCCAATTTGCCATTTTAAGGTGATTCTCCATGTTTCCGCTCTAACTGTGCTTCACAATACTCAAGACACTGAATCAGGATGTTTCCTGGAGTGCAGGGAGCTGTCCATGGTACTGAGCAGTTCTCAGCAACCAAAAGATCCTACTGACTCCTCATCAGACTTCTTTCTCACTGGAATTTTACACCTGGGCTGTTAACACCAGGCCAGGTCAAATTCAAAGGAGAGAAAAAAGCTCATTATGAAGGGTAAAATCCAAAACACTGTGCATAAAGATATGTGTGCACAATTTTTATACATAAAGATTTCATAAAGCCAAAGCATCAGGAAATGAAAAGAGATACAGAAAGAAAAATGATGGTAAATGAGACATTAATTTACCCTTCTAATCTCTATCACAGCAAAAAGATAATTAAAAAATCTATATGAGGACCACAAAATACACAAAAATTATGTAGCAAAGCCTATAGCCTGAAAAAGTAAACATTGAAATTTATATGTCCATAAAATGTTTACAAAATTGAGTACATATTACACACCCCACCCCAAAAACATCTAAGCAAAGTAGAGAATGTAGAAATGCTACAGATTATATTCTCTGATTATGACACAACAAAACTAGAAATTACAGCATGGAAATTTAAAAGCTTTCTCTTAAATAATTCTATGTCAAAAAGAAATCCAGGCCGGGTACAGTGGCTCATGCCTGTAATTCCAGTACTTTGGGAGGCCAAGGTGGGCAGGTCACTTGAGGTCAGGAGTTCAAGACCAGCCTCGTCAACATGGCGACACCCTGTCTCTACTAAAAATACAAAAATTAGCAGGGCCTGGTGGCGCATGCCTGTAATCCCAGCTACTTAGGAGGCTGAGGCTGGAGAATTCCTTGAACCCAGAAGGTGGAGGTTGCAGTGAGCTGAGATTGCACCACTGCACTCCAGCCTAGATGACACAGCAAGACTCTGTCAAAAAAAAAAAAAAAAAGAAATCCAAATAAAATTTCCAGAATATGTGGAAAATAGTGATAATAAAAATATTACACATGTGTAATCCCAGCATTTTGAGATGCCAAGGTGGCAGGATCACTTGAGGCCAGGAGTTCACAACCAGCCTGGACAACATAGGGAGACTCCATCTCCACACACGCCAAAAAAAAATTTTAAATAGCCAGGTATAGTGGTACTTCTTGTAATCCCATCTACTTGGGAGTCTAAGGTGGGAGAATCACCCAACCTCAGGAGTTCAGGGCTTCAGAAAGCCATGATCATATCACTGCACTCCAGCCTCAGCAACAGAGCAAGATCCTATCTCAAAAAAAAAAAAAAAAAAAAATCACATGTGGGAAATAGCTATAGCACAATAAAAATAAATGTATTAAGTATGAACAACAAAAAAGCTAGTAAAGGTTGAACAACAACTATCCTTAGGAAAGTGGAAATAATGTATTAATAAATATGAAAGAAGGCTAGGCATGGTGACTCACATCTGTAATCCCAGCACTTTGGGAGGCTGAGGCAGGCAGATCACCTGAGGTCAGGAGTTCCAGACCAGCCTGGCCAACATGGTGAAATCTTGTCTCTCCTACAAATACAAAAACTAGCCAGGCTTGGTTGCGCACTCCTGTAATTCCAGCTACTTGAGAGGCTGAGGCAGGAGAATCTCTTGAACCTGGGAGGCAGAGGTTGCAGTGAGCCGAGATCATGCCACTGCACTCCAACTGGGGCAACAGAGTGACACTCCATCTCAAAATAAATAAATAAGAAAGCAGAAACTAATAAATTAGAAAACAGAAACATAGAACTAATTCATAAATCAAAGCACTATGCCTTGAAAAGAGGGAGAAAAATTGTGAATTAAGGAAGGGAAGAGATGGTTGGAGAGGAGGTGGGAGAAGGCAGAGATAATTGAAGGAGCAAAAGCATCTGGAGAAGCAAAGCCACTGAAAGATGAACAGGGCTCTGAAAGAAATGCTTGATTGCTATCTTTTCAAATGACTGCAGTTCCCAGTGACATCATTTTTCTCCTCCCTGGAAGTCTGAGGGGCAGTTCACTTATCTCCTCCCCTCCCCTACTCCTCACCCCACACTCAAAACCTGTCTATGCTCCTTTCATTCTCATATGACAGATTTCAGATGGCATTCTTATTTCCCTGATTTCTTTTTGAGATAGCTTGCATTTCCCTCCTCTATATAAAGCCACCATTTATCAAATGCCTACATGGACCAAGCAGTCCACAAGGGCTTCACAGACAGTTTTACTAAACTCATGCCAAAACTTTCAGGTTTTATACCTACCTTATAGATAAAGAAGTTGAAGCTTATAGAGTTTAAGTAATGTTTCCAAAGCCTCGTGGCTAGTAATTCAAACCTAATTTCTGCCTACTCCAAAGTCTATTATTCCTCATGATACTATACTGCCTCTCCATGGATAAAGACAGAGATCACATATTAATAAAATTTGCACAAAGTCGGCAAATTGTTGAAAGGGAAGGCTAAGATGATTAATAAGATCAAGAGCCAAATGATCTCAACAACCTGAAATAACTGGCTGACAACCAATTTGAATAACTCCCTGCGGGTGAAGTTCAAAGTACTATTTGGGGTTTTTTTTAAAGTTTGGCTGGGTGCAGTGGCTCACGCCTGTAATCCAAGCACTTAGGGAAGCCAAGGTGGGCGGATCATGAAGTCAGGAGTTGAAGACCAGCCTGGTCAACATGGTGAAACCCCGTCTCTACTAAAAATAAAAAATTAGCCGGGCATGCTGGTGGATGCCTGTAGTCCCAGCTACTCGGGAGGCTAAGGCAGGATAATCGCTTGAACCCAGGAGGTGGAGGTTGCAGGGAGCCGAGATCGCAGCACCACTGCACTCTAGCCTGGGCGACAGAGCGAGATTCCGTCTCAAAAAATAAAATAAAATAAAATAAAAAATAAAAGTTTGATATATTCAGAATCAGGGAGGTCTGTTGGGTGCAGTTCATTTGAAAAATTCCTCAGCATTTTAGTGATCTGTATGGTCCCTCTATCTGTCAGGGTCCTAGCAGGAAATTGTTGCACTCTCAAAGGATTAAGCAGAAAGAGTTTAATGAAGGGTCTCTTTCCAGGGTTAAGGGAACTGCTAGGGTTTGGATATTTGACCACTCCAAACTCATGTTGAAATGTGATCCCCATTGTTGGAGGGGGGGCCTAATGGGAGGTGTTTTGGTCCTGAGTGTGGACCTCTCACGAATGTCTTGGTGCCATCCAAGTGAGTTCTTGCTCGCTCTTTTTTTTTCTTTTTGAGATGTAGTTTCACTTTTGCTGCCTAGGTTGGAGTGTAGTGGTGCGATCTTGGCTCACTGCAACCTCCACCTCATGGGTTCAACCCATTCTCCTGTGTCAGCCTCCAGAGTAGCTGGGATTACAGGTGCCCACCACTATGCCCAGCTAATTTTTGGTATTTTTAGTAGAGACGGGGTTTCACCATGTTGGCCAGGCTGGTCTCAAACTCCTGACCTCAGGTGATCTGCCTGCCTCGGCCTCCCAAAGTGCTGGGATTACAGGTGTGAGCCACCGTGCCCACCTAGTTCTAGCTCTCTTAATTCCCACAAGAGCTGGTTGTTAACAAGAGCCTGGCACAAACCCCTCTCTCTCGCCACGTGATCTCTGCACATGCCAGCTTCCCTTCCCCTTCTGCCATGAGTGGAAACAGCCTAAAGCCCTCACCAGAAGCAAATGGTGGCACCATGCTTCTTGCACACTTTCAGAACTGTGAACCAAATAAACCTCTCTTCTTTAAAATTACTCAGCCTCTGGTATTCCTTTATAACAACACACACACACACACACACACACACACACACACACACACGCAAAAGCAGACTAAAACAGGAACTAATTAGAAATGGTGATGCACGGAGGGATTGGCACCGAGGCTCCCCAACAGGAACTGAGGCCATGGATAGAAGGACACATTCATGTTATTTTTTCCTAATGGTTAAGTAATTATTTGCTCTTACTCTCAAAATTTCTGCCAAGGCCTCCCATGGACCAAACTCAACTAGAATCTAGGAAGCAGAGAACCTGAGTGTTGCATTCAGCAGAAGTCAGCTTCCTAGGGAATCTTGCAGGAAGGGTGAGGGTAGAGAATCTGGTGGGGAAGCAAGCAAATGCCCATCACGTGCACTTTCCTCCAACAGAGCGACTCAGATGCTATAAAACTTGCTAACTCAGTCTCAGGGTCTGATCACAGTAACATACAATCCAGGTTTTAATCATCAGAAATCACAGTCCTATTGTCTTCTGCACAGACCCAAACACACTTGGAGGTCATGTTCAATATGAATACCTCACAGAGAAGGAAATTTACACACAAGAAGTACATCTGCAGAAAGCCAGCTGGCATGTCAACCATTCAAAAACTCAGGAAGTTCGGGATAAAGAAGACTCAGGAAGACAAGTATGAAGCATAATCTGCGACGTTCCATGCGGCAGACGTTAGACACATACAAGAGAGTTGTTGAAAAGTGGAATTTATCTTCATATAAACAACACTGAGCTAAATCTCAATATTTCAGATCTCTAGAACTATCCATCAATGAAATGGATTGCAAATAGAAAGAGTAATACCATGTCACTTAAGAATACAATCATGGACGATGCTGCCACCTGCTGTTGGGGGCCACTGCAGAAGAAATTCCAGAACACTGGACTGGAGAGCACCTCACTTTCCTTACAGCTCTAAGTTTCTGACTCAGTGACCTGATTCAGTACCATATACACAAAGACCCACTTACACAAATGACTGTTCTTCACACTAGGCCCATGGAGACAGGGATAAAATTCTGAATTTGCTCAGATACCTTCTCTGCTATTGACATCTAGGCATTACACAATTCATCTCTTCATACTTAACCTTTGAAGTTTGCTACTTCTCAGAGAGACTAATGAGTAGTGAGCAAATATCCTGAAGCTGAGAATGCTTCTACCTCCTCTCAAAACAACAGAATATTCATCAAAACACAGCAGTTCTGCACTTAACTTTAGGCCTTTTCTAACACCTCATTTCTTGGCAGTAACTGTGGCCAGAATAGCTCTTTCCACAGAGAAAGGACCTTTTGAAAGGATAGGGTCTCTAGATAGAAAAGCAAATGCCTCATTCCAGAAGGTCTTCAAGAAGAAAATGTTGTGGTGATAACAAACATAACTGATTATAATCTATTCTGTGAAAAAAGCTTATGAAACAGTAGATGTGTGTATCTAGTACATAAGAGCTGAATGTCAATATATATATATATATAGATATATACACACACTCAAATAAATAATAGTTATCTCTAACTAGAGAAATTCTAGTTGCCTTATATTTTCTTCTTTTTCCTTACTATATTTTCTACAATAAACATGTGTTTTTAACAAGAAAAGTCTTTTCTGGTGTGCTTTTTAATTTTCTTTGTTTAAGTGAGAGTGAGGCTACATAACTACATGGCTAGGTAGACTTTTAGAAAACTTGGCTGCTCTAGAAAATTGACATATCCTGATTTCTTCCATAGCTTGGATCTTGACCTAGAGGGAAATATAAAAATGTTGACTTGAACCTGAGGGGTGCCATTTTCACTGCTGAAGTAGTTTCATGGATCATGAATTGGAGAAATGACTTCAGCAACACGGGTGTTAAAAACAGCACAAGTGACCCACAACAGATGATGGAGAACAAAGAGCAAGCTGGGAAAAGCAGTGGCCTTTAATACAGAAAAGAAGAAGTATAGCCACAATAAATATTAGGCAGACAGCAGTTCAGCAGTTTATACTATTAAGCTGTTGTTTAGGGGAATGGTAAACCGACATGACCCTTGAGGTGTAGGTATATATAGGGAAATTCTATGTGTCCCTTGAAATAGGTGTATGACACAACTTCTGGCATCTACATGGATTTGGTCACTCTAAAGTAGCCATGAGGCTTAAGATAGTTCAGCTGTTTGGGGATAAGCTAAATCATTTGCAGTGGTCTTTCTGCAATTTGCATATCCTACAGCTATCATTGTCATTACTGAATGGCACAGAGAAAAATTCTGGTCTAAAGTGGTTCTCAAACCTGGTTGCTGGAGGGCCACCCTCAGTGATGATGATTTAATCTGTAGAAGAGTAGAACATTGATAGTTTTTATATATCTCCAGGTAATTTTAATATATAACTGGGGTGAGAATCATTGACCTAATTGTAAGAGGATAATATTCAAGAAACGTGGAGATAAATAATTTTCTTCTTGACATTAAAAAAATCTAATAAAAAGTTTTATCTTTTGCCCTAACTCAGGGTCATCAGCCTTCAAGCTTCAGTCTCTGTGTGTTCACAGGTGCTGCAAACACACGCATCACTACTAATATCCCACTTCAGTGCTATTGCTGCTCCCAAAACTCCAGGTATTTTTAACCTTATAAACCTCCAGAATAATGAGACCACTGGGTTCAGTAAATTGCTTTGTTGTGAAGCAGTGTTAGACAAAGTGGGAGACTAGAAGATAAATCTGTCAATGACATGTCCTTTAAGACTACTTAGATTTTGTTGAATTTGTGGATCATTCCTTACTTGAGCAAATGGTAAATTAACTCTCTCTTTTCTCTCTCTCTGTAGCTGGCACACTTTTTCCAGTAGCCATTCTACTTGGTATGCTTACTTATCAGCTGTCCTCCAGGGGCCTCACATTAGATGTTTCTCTTGACTAACCAAACATGACACACAGCTGAAGTCAGAAAAACCAGATTGATAATTTCACTCAAACTATTTTCCTTCATTCTAACAATTTACTGGAGTACACAATTGTGACTATTTTTAGCCATAGGAACTCATAGAAAGACCAACTTCATTAGACCTACAAAATCGAATTGTGTAACAGTATATGCAGTATGTGTAGGAATAAAAAGCATTTCTCAAATATGCAGTACTGGATTTTGCAAAAGCACCTTACACTTAGCTATAAAGGAGTGGAAAACACAAAGATGAGTAACTGCACCTTTCAAAAGACTAGAGCTATACCAATAATACAAAGGTGTAAACAAATAATGATGAGATGACAAAGGCTGAGTGTTTTCTATTTGGAAGCTATGTTGTTGAATTATTTATGTATATAATTTCATGCAATCTTCATGTTATGGGGGTGTTCTAATCCACTGTGACTCTGTCCTTAAATAAAAGGGAGATTTGGACATAGAGACAGGCACACGGGGAGGATGCCATATGAGAATTGACACTGTGCTGTCACAAGCCAAGGAACTACTGGAAGGAGAGAAAGAGGACTGGAACAGTTCCTTCCTTAGCACCTTTTCAGGCAGCCCAGCCCTGCCAGCTTCTTGATCTGGACTTCTCACCTCTAGAATTGTGAGGCAATAAATTTCTGTTGCTTAAGTTACCCAGTTTGTGGTACTTTATTACAGGAGCCCTAGGAAAATAATTCATTATATAATCTGCTAAGGTAGATATGATCATTGTCTCCAATTTCCATATGAAGAAACTATGCCTCAGGCATTGTGTCAGTTGTCCAAAATCATACATTCCTGACTCACTTCAATGAATTCTTCATTCAGCAAAATTTTTAAGGTACCTTAAAAAATTATGTTAACTCTTAGGTCCTTGCTTTAAAGCTTCAATGGACTTTTCCTTTGCAAAGAATAAAATCCTAATACTTAAGCATAGCTCTCTTTCCTGGCTATGTTTCTGACATCCTCTTGTACCATGCTCCTCCTTAATCATTCTGAGGTTACATCTTAAGTCCTTTCCCCTTGCCATTCCCACTTCTTGGAATACTTTCCCATCAACTCTTCAAAGAACTGGCTTCTTTAAGTATTTGGTCTCAGTTCAAATGTCACTTCCCTGTAAAAGCTTCCTGGCCATCAAGCCTTCTTTACACACACTCTATTTTATTTTTTCATGGTTCCTATAACAACCTAATATATTCTCAATTGATTAACTGTTTTGCTGACTACTGCCTTCCATAAGAATGAAAAGAAAATGTGGCCAGGTGCAGCGGCTCACACCTGTAATCCCACCACTTCAGGAGGCTGAGGCAACATGGCAAAACCTTCTCTTCAAAAAATTTTTTAAAAGTTAGCTGGATGTTGTGGAGGCAAGAGGATCACTTGAGGATCACTTGAGTCCATGAGGTCAAGGCTGCAGTGAGTCATGTTTGCACCACTGCACTCTAGCCTAGGTGACAGAGCTAGTCCCTATCAAAACCCTATCAAAAAAAAAAAAAAAAAAGAATGGAGAGAATGCTACATGAGAGAAAGGATCTTATTTATCATGTTCACCTCCCAAGAGGTGAACATATCCCCCAAAGCCTGATAGAGAGAAGATGCTCATTAATATTTAATGCATGACCATGTGCAGACTTGGGAGGAAAAATATGCCTCAGCCTATCAAAATTGGATCCTTAATAAACAAGGATGCTTCTCCATCATTTCCCCACAACACCAAACAAGTGTGGCGGCTCACTGTGGATGTTTAAGCAAATGCATTGTTTTTCCAGTTATATATCTGGTAGAGATGAGGTCATTGATAGGAATGGGAAGACAATCTCCTTTTATTTTGATGACCCAGCATGGCTGAACACTCAGTGACTACCACTGCACTTTGTTGTACTTTCAGCATTAGAGATGCCAGCCCTGTAGGATATAAAACAGGAACATCTAGTCCTCAATTATATTCAGAATTACTCAAGTCTTAGAAGCACCACTTGTCTTTTTTCAAGGGAGAGAAATGCTCAAGTGATGATGGGCTGAAGTGAAGGGAGGGAGTCACTCACTTAAACGGTTCCCTTAGGCTGTGTGGATGCAAACAGCATTAGACAATGACGCTGACAGTGGGAAATGCACTGGAGACGATGATTGGCAAAGCCCTCCTTTTCTCCCCATCCACTTTGGATACTGACAGCAAAGGGTTTGTCACAATGACAACTATACACTCCCAATATCACAGAAGAAGGAGGAATAAAAGGGTATGAGTGACTGAAGTTTAGAATAAATCAATAAATATTATGTCCCTCATCCATAGAAACCACAAAGGTCTAGTAACGCTAAGGATATAACAAGAAAATAATATGAATATTTGCTTCCCCTTCCTAGTGTAATAGAGTAAGTTACAAATGGCTTCAGGAAGGGGAGAGAGGAAGAAGAGTGGATGAGATACGTAAGAGTGCCTGAGGGCTGATTTTATGAAAGCTTTGGGAAGTTTTAAGAAAAAGAAAAGCTATTTTTCAAGGTACATGTGTGTATGCGTGCGTGTGTGTGTGTGTGTGTGTGTGAAAGACAGAAGAAAGAGGGAGACCTAGGAAGACTATGAGACACTAAGAGAAAAATTAAGGTAAAAAAGACACACACTTAGAAAAACACACATAGGGAGGAGGGAGGAGGTTAAGACATTTTACTATGTGCTGTGAATGGAAACTACAAACCATTTTTCATATATGCAATATATATACATATATACACACATATACATAGGTATTTAAAGATTTAAATTACATTTTCTCTTTTTTTAGAGATGCGGTTTCACTATGTCACTCTGCCCAGGCTGCAGTACAGTGGTTGTTCACAGTCATGATCATAGCACATTATAGCCTTGAACTCCTGGGCTCAAGCAATCCTCCTGTATTAGTCTCCCCAGTAGTTGGGATTACTAGCATATGCCACCATGTCCACCCTTATGCTTTTTAAAGTGAAAAACCATACTAAGAATGAGGCAGCTCAACTTAATAATAAAAACATTTCAAATGTAAAGAAATTTACAAAAGAAAAACAATCAACCCCATTAAAATTGGGCAAAGGGAATGAACAGACACTTTTCAAAAGAATACATGCATGCAGCCAACAAACATACAAAAAAAAAAGTTCAACACCACTGATCATTAGAGAAATGCAAATCAAAACCATAATGAGATACCATCTCACACCAGTCAGAATGGCTATCATTAAAAAGTCAAAAAATAACAGATGCTAGTGAGGCTATGGAGAAAAGGGAATGCTTATACACTGTTGGTGGGTGTGCAAATCAGTTCAATCATTGTGCAAAGAATAGTGATTCCTCAAAGAGCTAAAAGCAGAGCTACCATTCGACCCAGTAATCCCACTACTGGGTATATACCCAGATGAATATAAACCATTCTACCATAAAGACACATGCATATAAATGTTCATTGCAGCACTGTTCACAACAGCAAAAGAATAGGATCAACCTAAATGCCCATCAATGACAGATTGGATAAAGAAAATGTGGTACATATGCACCATGGAATACTATGCCACCATTAAAAAATGATATCATGTCTTTTGCTGGAATATGGATGGACCTTCTATTATCCTTAGCAAACTAATGCAGGAACAGAAAACCAAATACAGCATACTCTCAGTTATAAGTGGGAGCTAAATGATGAGAACTAATGAACACAAAGAATAAAACAGACACTGGGGTCTACTTGAGGGTGGAGGGTGAGAAAAGGAAGAGAAGCAGAAAAGATAACTATTGGGTACTAGGTTTAATACCTGGGTAATGAAATAATCTGTACAATAACCCCCTGTGACACCAGTTTACCTATGTAAAAAATGCCCCTAAACTTAAAATAAAAGTTAAAAAAAAAGAAAATTAAAATCTCCTTATCATCTACCTGGTAATATGAAAAACACATATCTTTCATTCATTCCTTTCAACTGATGAGGAAACTGAGGCATCAGGAGTTAGTAAAAGTCCACATTGAGATATGAGACCCACCACTGGCTGGACGCAGTGGCTCACACCTGTAATCCCAGCACTTTGGGAGGCCGATGCTGGTGGATCACCTAAGGTCAGGAGTTCGGGACCAGGCTGGCCAACATGGTGAAACCCCCATCTCTACTAAAAATACAAAAATTAGCTGGGTGTGGTGGCAAGCACCTGTAATACCAGCTACTAGGGAGGCTGAGGCAGGAGAATCGCTTGAACCCAGGAGGTGGAGTTTACAGTGAGCCAAAATCACGCCATTGCACTCCAGCCTGGGCAACAAGAGCAAGACTGTCGGGAAAAAAAAAAAAAAAAAAAAAAAACCACCACCATCATTTTGCAAGTGTTACCACTATTGTGTGTTAATATTGTAGAAGTATTCCTAATTATGATTTCTTTGTATTCCTAATTGTAATAGCTTTGTATTTGAAAAATTATTGATTCATACTCTATATGTTATTATTTTGTATGCGATGACAACAGAATATATTATCATGCTCCTTTTGTGAATCTCATTCATAATATAAAGTATAAATTTGTGATTTTGCTTTAATTTGAAATATTAATTTCAAATATGTTATCACAATTTGATACAAACTATTGACAATAAATCTGTGGATTAAGTAATGTCTTAGTAGGTATTGGGAAAATTTGAAACTAGTAACATGGAGGACTATTGTCATTGTTTATTTCAAAGCCAGTTAAAATTCTGCAAAGCAGTGTAAATAAAAATAATTTCAAGAAATTTATAAAATACCGAGATTATGGTGTATAAACAATCTTTAGATTCTTTAAGAATTTCTGCCAGTTTGTAATATATGCTTCATTCAAAGTAGCTAAGGGCTGTACCTGGCTAATAGTAGGCACCTAATATTTGTTGAAAAGGAATACTGAGTAGCTGGGACCTCCTGAGTAGCTGGGACCACACACATTTAACCTGTATTTATAAAATTACTGTTTAGAGAAAAACATTTGATGGAATCATGCTTTTACTTTCTGCTTATGACTCAATTGTTTGTACTGACACTAACATCCAAATCCTTAGCATGGCCTACAAGGCCCTGAGCAATGTGGCACCTGCTGAAGCCTGCTGCCTCATTTAATAACTTTTTGTCTCCTTCCCAGATCCAGCCACTCTAACATTTTTTAGTTCCTGGACCAAGACAAGCTCTTCCCAGAACCTGACCTTTGTACCTGTTCTTTATTCCTGGAGTATTTTTCCCCTGACAAATTACTTATCATCTATCATAATTCAGGTTAAATGGCACCAACTCAGGGAAGGCTTCCCTAACTGCCTCCCTTCTCCAACCAAATTAGGAACAATTATATGGCCACAGAGTATCGAATCAAGTTTATAATTTTAAAATAATTGGGAGATTTTGCTGTTTAACACTTGTTTTCACTATAAGACTGTAATTACATGCAAGTAAGAACCATGCCTGTTTGTTCACTCCTGCCACAGTCAGAATAGTGCCTGGAATATGCAGTAAGGGCTGAACAAACACTAAATAAATGAACAAGTGAATAAATGGATATTGTCTCATTTTTAGAACAGAGTACTAAATGGATCATGAACACTATCTGGTATGTCACATAGGTAATTTACAAGGGATACAATTTCAGCTCAGATTTACCTTTTCCTGGATACAGGTCTTGATAGGTCTCTTGATGTCATTTCACTTCAGATTCTTCTTTAGAAAACTTTGACAATAGCATTTGCTGTCTTGTCCAAATTGTTACTAAGAATCAAGAGAGATATCTCACATGAAATGACATTGGAAAACATTAAACACGATTGAAATAATGCTAGCCAATATGGTTATTATTAGAAACCAATTACATTTTCAACTTAAAAATAGTAATACTTATTGCAGACTCAAATGTGCTTATTCTAAAACAAGTAAATGTTTGCCTATGGTCTGAGATTCTAATCCACAGAGTTCATTCTAATCCACATTCAACACTATCATGTACCAGTAGGCCTCATAACCCACCTAGCCCTGTGATTTTTCAGGTTCACTTTTCTAAACTTGTGAATTAAATATTTATTTTCTTCGTTCAGAAGAGGGAAAAAACTCTTGTAATTGTTGCCCATTTCAGGAGAAATCTTGCATATGAAAACAAGAGATAAATATACACAACTGAGGGCTGTGGTTTAAACAAAATCTTGAGAATGTTTTTTGACCTTATACATTTGTGCTTTAGTATAACAAAATGATATAGACAAAGGTAACTTTTAATAGAACCAGTCACTAAATTAAAAAAATGACAAATTCTTCTGCTTAGCTAAGCAACAGAGAAGGTAAAATACTAATTCAATTCATCAATTTAAGCAATACTCATTAAGAGCCAAGTATGTGCTTACTGAATAAGCTGCTAAGGTTTGGTGGTTACAGAGTGTGCGGTGAAATGATGTCTACATCACAGTCCAACATTCACAGAGTTTAGAAGCCTACCAAGAATCAAGACAGACACAAATACCTAACATAGACATTTGTATGTGATAAGAGAGCCAGAGTACAATTTAGGAGAAGAAATTGTATGGAAGGAAGGTTCATTTCCATTAGACCAGAAAAGACAGCACATTTGAAGGCCTGAATAAGAAGTATTCTGGATAAGATATTGTGGCTGCTACCAGAATGGCTCTTGATGATCTCTACCTCTTGGTATTTATACCCTTATATAATCTCTTTCCTATAGTATAAGCTGGTCCCAGGTACTTGTTTCTATTGAATAGAATAGAACAAAAGTAATGAGATGCCACTTCTGAGATTAGATTATAAGATACTGTGAATTTCATCTTGTGCCCTCTCCCTCTCTCTCTTTCTCTTGCACTCTCATTTGAATAAAACCAACTGGCATGCTGTCAGTGGCCCAGTGTAAGTCCTGTTACAAGAAATTGATGATTGCCTGTAGCCAACCCTAAGTGAAGAACTGAGGTCCTCAGTCCTACAAATGGAGAGAAACTGAATCTAGCTAAGAACCATGTGAGTGAGCTGGGAAGAAGATCCACCCTCAGTCGAAATTTAAGATGACCATAGCATCAGCAGACATATTGAGACACACTGAAAGTAAGAGAGCAGGAGGAAACAAAACCAGGGTCATACAAAGAACACAACTGATTTTGAGATTCTCACATAAGTATTACACCTTCAGTGAGCACGTGTACTAGAAATTAAAAAAATAAATAAAATAAACCTGCAAAGAGAGCTAGCAAATAAATTTCCCTATGGTCTCAGCTCTGAGTGGAGAGAGAAAATGTTCCCTGTAGAGTTTATAGCCAGAATCCAGCTCTCAAACAGGTTTCAGCCTGAACTCACACAATCTGTGTGGCTTCCAAATTTGCAAGCTGAGAATTTAATTCAAAGTGGTCTCAGGTTGATAGCAGTCCAAAATGCCAGGTAGGAAAAAAATCCTCTCTGGACAAATAAATCATCAAAGCAAGCTCACAAGAGCAGGTTTCAAAGGTCATGAGCTTC
Source organism: Homo sapiens (assembly GCF_000001405.40). Taxonomy (NCBI): domain Eukaryota; kingdom Metazoa; phylum Chordata; class Mammalia; order Primates; family Hominidae; genus Homo; species Homo sapiens. Next base: position 118,655,281 of record NC_000004.12, on the reverse strand, counting down.
TAACACACACACAAAAATCACACACACAAAATGGGGGTAGCAGCAACATGGGTAGCATATTCAATCTTGAAAAGACTTTAAATATTTGTATTATTAGATGTAGATTATGAAACACATATTTTAATGTGGTTAATTTTTTTAAGGAATCAAAACTATGAGTAAAGACCAAGAAAATTGTGCTGGATGGCCACTTCCACCATGGCTCCCCTCCTATTTAAGTCTGGGTACTGTGTCACCCGAAGTCTTCAGGCACATTGTTCCAGGTTTGGGTTTGCCTATGAAAGAAACTCATGAGAGCTGGAAGTGAGGAGTGAAGAGGAGGTCTTCACATAAAGCAGGCTTAAGGATTAGACATAGCAGGTTTGACAGATGTGATGGCTTGCAGAATTCTTTATGAGCTCCCACTGTCCATCTGGATAAGATTTACAGACCTTTCAGAAATTCCTATAAGCTTGGGTTCTGTGCCCACACTCTAGACTGTCAGGCTAAGATCTCTGATATAAAACAGACTTCTTCTGATTTTGTCTAGCTGCTTTTCTAATATCTATTCACCAAGCTCTTCCAATAATAGCATAAGGCCCTAATTAATGTTAAACTTTTATCATTATAATACATAGGATGTCTTCTGTTTTCCTGATCAAATTCTGACTATTAAAATATAAAGAATTGTCCAGAAATATATAAAAAAAGAATCACACATTGATCTTCTTTAAATGAAAATGTAACAATTGTATGGACTAGGATGATTACAGTTGTTCAGTTCTGACTGTTATTTGAAGAAAAAAGCAATAAGAAGCCTCAGCAACTTAACAGAAGGAGCTGCCATTTACTAGGAGAAAAGATTGTGGATGAGAGTGTAGCAAAGGTCAGAATTCTGTGAAGCTTGAGATGTCTATTATAATGAATTATCTTTTATACTCACTACAATTTCCTAACAATTTTGGGGTTTATATTTTTGAAAGAGATATACCTTTAATTTTCTTTCTTTGTACTATTGTTAGGTAACTTTAATGTGCAGATTATACTACAGTGAAAGTTGCCAATGACAAGGCAAAGTCACTTACATCAGACCCAAAGCAAAGTGGAGCCGAGTCATGAAAAAGGGGATCTTGTGTGTGTGTCCACAATAAGCACTATCACAAGGACTTTCTATAAACTCACAAGAAATTTCTGCCCACCCAGCACATTCTGTTTGTCCAGCTCATCCTGTAGGTGTCTCTATAATAGGACCTATCATAAAAAATTCCTCAAGACTGCAGCATTTCAGATAAGCCACCCTCACAAGAACACTGGCCTAGCAATGGCTGTTTCTGCCAGTAAGTTAACACCAGCTCCTGCATCAGGCCCTGTGACCAATGATGTTTGTTTCAAAACAGCTTGCATAGACTTCTTTTTGTCTTTAAATATTTTCCTTACCTCAACCTCTTGGGATGCACCTATGATTGATCATAGCACAAATATCTCAGATTGTAATCCTTGTTTATTTCCAAATAAATTTATTTCTTTGGAGATCCACTTTTTCTGTTATTATACATTGACATTGTTATCATGAAATTAGTTGGGTGATGTGCCTTATTTTCTTGTCTCCAGAAGAATTTCTGTAACAGTGCAATTAAACGTTTTTTGCATGTTTGCTAGAACTCACCTGTAAAATTGTCTGAGCAACCAAAGCCTGGTTTTTGTGTTTAGTTTTTCTTTTGTGATTGGGGAGGGGGGTTTATTGTACTGATTCAAGGTGTGAAGGTAACATCATTTTGATTTCATTCATCTTCTTCAGTCCATTTAAGCATGTTACATAGCGTTGTTTGTTCTTTTCATGATATTCTTTACAGTAGCCTCCTAAATGTTCCCTCTGCTTCTGCCATGAGCCCCTACAATCTATTTCAACTCAGAAGCTATAGAGTTTGTTTAAAACATGTAACATATTATGCCACCTTTCTTACTGTAAAACATCCCATGGTTTCTCATAGTATTTATAGTAAAGATGAAATCTTTATGATGGCTTGAGAAACTTTTCCCATTAGATGCCCAAGTGCTGGTCTGGTCTGATCTTCTCATCTTCCCTTGGGTGATTCTGTGGCAGTCACACTAGCCTCCTTGCTGCTCCACAAAAACTCCAGCATGATCCTACTTCAGGATATTTGCCATTGTTACTGCATCTGCCTGGAACCTTTTCTCCCATATAAACATAGAGATTGCTCTTGCCTGTCCTTCAAGTCTATTCTTAAATGTCCCATTCTCTGTGAAGCTTTCCTGCCCACCCTATTTAAATTACAGACTTCACTCCCAATTCCCCATCTACTTTAAGAGTCTTCATTTATCATTCCTTGACAAACTGTAAATATACATGTTCACTTTTTTATCGTCTGTCTCCAAATACTGGAATGTTAAGTTCTGTAATGTCAGATATTTCTGTTTGGTTCACTGGTGTATTCTTAAAGCATGTTACATACTAGGTATACTCAATGAATATTTGTTGAATAAATATCACATTGGGCTTATTCCAGAAATTCAAGCTTGTTTCAATAGTTAGAGCAATCTACAAATGTAATTCATTACATTAACTAATTAAAGGAGCTAAATCACATCACCACCACAATAATGCAGAAAAACACATTTGATACAGCTCAATATTCATGCATGCCTAACAAACATCTCATGATACTAGGAAAAAAGGAAGGGATATATTATTTTCATGTATAAAACACTAACCATTGTAGCATGGCAATATACTCAAAATTCAATGAAATTCCTATCGAAATCTTAGCATTCCTCTTAGTCCTCAACAAAGCATTTCTAAAATGTGTATAGAAGACCAAAGGGCCAAAAGAATCAACTTCTGAAGAAGTGGAAAAAGAAAGTTGAGGAAATCTTAAAACATGTTATTGAGCTTAAAGTTGCAAAAATAAACTCATGTACCATAATTCATGAGTAGAAAAATAGACTAGTGGAATAACATAAAAATAAAAACAATGCTTACATAAAATGTTGTAACTGATTTGGATGTCATTAGAAATCAGTAAGTAAATAGATGGACAATGTAATGAAAGATGCTAGGCAAATAATGTGGTAGGGAGAATAATAGCCCTCAAAGATGCCCATGCCTAACCCTGGAACCTGTGAATATGTTACACTGAATGCAATAAAGGCTTATCAGATGTGATTAAGGATGCAAACCGAGATGGAGAGATCTTCCTGGGTTATCCAGATGGGCCCAGTCTAATCACATGAGTTCTTAAAAATGGAGAACCTTTCTTAGCTGAGTCCAGAGAGAGATGTGACAATGAAAGAATGGTCAGAGAAATGTGACATCGCCAGCTTTAAAAAGAGAGAGGAGAGGCAATGAGAAAAGGAATGCTGATGTTCTCTAGAAGATAGAAAAGGCCAGGATATGGATTCTACCCTAGCCGCCAGAAAGAAACATGCCTGTCGACAACTTGATTTTAGTTCACTAAAATTCATGCCTGATTTCTGACTTGTGTACACTGTAAGATGATAAGTTTGTGTTATTTTAGGTCACTTAGTTTGTAGAAATTTGTTACAGCAGTAATAGAACAAGTGGTTATCCAAATGAGGCAAATTAGATTGGATACCTATCTCCAATAGAAATCAATTCAAGGTGAATTCCAGGAAAATACTTAAAACATTTAGATTAAAAATAAATGAGAATTTTTGTTACTTTTGGTAGGTCATAGAACCAAGAAAAACAAACATTAAGGAGGAAAAATGAACACATGACTACATCAAAATATAAAGCTTCTCTATTTGGATGATATCATAAGGTGACAAATCATAAACTGTAATACTTGCAACATATATATGAGTGAATAAATATACATTTAGAATATATATGAACTCTCAAAAATCAACAGGAAAAATAAGACATAGAACAAGCAAAATGCATAAACAAAAGAAGGCAAAACAAAAATGACTCATAATTATATGAAAAGAAGCTCATCTTCATAGATGAGCAGATAAATTCAAATTAAAACCACCCTGAGATGCTTTTTACATCCATGAGCCTGATAAAAGTTAGAGTCTAAAAGTAATAATTAACAAAGATGGGAAGTAACAGAAAATCTTGTCCATTACTGGTTAAAGTATAAACTGATACAGCTACTTTATAGAATATTACTTTATAGAATAAAGTTGTGAGTATGTATATGCAGTGACTCAGCATCTTCATTGCTAGTATGTACTCAAGAGAAACTTACAGGAGTGGACTAGGAAGTAAATACAAAATGATTACAACATTGTTTGTTATATCAAAAAATAAAAAAGACCCAATTTTCCAGCAAAAAAAAATAAGTAAAAATAAATCCTGGTGTATTCTAACAATGGAATAATATATAGCCATTAAAATAAATCAACTATTACTGTACATATGAATGTAAGTATCAGCAAAACATATTGTTTAGTGAAAAAGAAGCTGAAGAAGAATATATACAATATGGTTACATTTATATGAAGTCCAAAAACTTGCAAAATAAAGAAATGTATTTAGAAATAGATTCACATGTGAGAAAACTAGAAGAAAATTAATGAAAGGATAAAAGGGATAGCAGTAATTCTGAGTAGTTGAGGGGATTTCAATTGGAAAAAAATAGTATCATATTCTTTAAGTCAGGTAGTGGGTATTAGCATTAGTTTTACCATCGTTCTTTATTCTTATAGCTACATTATATATTTTCTATGTATTTAATGTATTTTTTGCATAATTAAATATTATGCAATAAAAATGAGAAAACAAAAAAGTAGAAAATGATAAATAACATACAATAAAGAAATGGAGAAAAAATTATAATCTAGTTGAGTAATGGTATATTACATAGCTATTTTCTTAAGTAGATGTATGTACATGATGTATGCACGATTGTACATACATGTTCTTAATTATATATAAATATATATGTACATATTTTTAATATAAAACACTAAACAAAGTACACCAAAATATTAGCTCCTATGTTAGTGAGATAATGTTTTGGTTTTTTTTATTTTAAGTTTTACATAGTAGGTGTATTTGTCTGTTTTCATACTGCTATAAAGAACTGCCCAAGACTGGGTAATTTATAAAGGAAAGAAGTTTAATTGGCTCACAGTTCAGTACAGCTTGGGAGGCCTCAGGAAATCTACAATCATGGCGGAAGACAAAGGGGAAGCAAGGCAGCATCTTCGCAAGGCAGCACGAAGAAGTGCCAAGCAAAGGGGAAAGAATCCCTTATAAAACCATCAAATCTCGTGAGAACTCACTGTCACAAGAACAGCACAGGGGAAACTGCCCCCATGATTCAATTACCTCCACCTGGTCTCTCCCTTAACATGTGGGGATTATGGGGGCTATGGGGATTACAATTCAAGATGAGATTCAGGTGGGGATACAAAGCCTAACCATATCAGTAGGCATGTGTTGAATTTTAAACTCAGAGAAAAATACTAGTGTTTTTATAGGATTCTTACTAAAGAAAAACCAGAAAGTAATAAACCATCTACGCTAAGACATAAAATTCAGTTGTTTAGTTACAAGATAGAATGTGGCCTTGTAAGAAAGCAAATTAACTTCTAACATACAAAGCCTTAGAGAAGATTCAAGTGACTGATGGATCTTAAACAGAGCTATTATTACAACTCAAACTGCAGTAAAATATCCTAAGCAACATAGATGTGTGTGTTTCATTAGTCAGAGCAATACAAATTTAATGAAATTCCATTGGTGGTGTTTTTAATCAGACAATTTCTGAAGATGTCCTGGCTTATTCATAGATGCAAGCCAAATCTCTAGAAGAGTACCATAATAAGAAAAAAAAGAATACAGGCAATTGAGAGCTGTTCCAAAGTTTAGGGAGTTTTTGTAAGGAATTAATAAATAAAAATGTTCTTGAAAGAGAAAATTAATATGCAGTTCATACTGCCAGAATTGCAGGCAATTTATCAAAGTCCCCTAATCCTCCAAAATCGCTATTTTTTTTTTTGACACACACTTTACAGTACAGAAGAAAATGTCTCCGGCAATAAATCACAAAGTTAAAATTACCTAGTCTACAATTAACTAGACAGTGATGGTAAATCATTTTCTACCAAAAGAAAGAAATGTCTTGTCTATTCAGGTTCTGCTCTACTTAAAAGTTTTCCTTGTTGGCGAGTAAGTGGTTAGAAAATCATATTTTATACGTACATTCAGCTTAACTATCATTCAGCTCAGGAAGATGACTCAGGGCCTTATCCATACCTTCAAGTTTGCTCTTAGCAAGTAATTGTTTCAGTATCTATATCAAAAATGGCTTAAGTCTGCAACATGTTTCTGAATGATTAACAAGGTGATAGTTCTTCATTGAATCCTGGATGCTTTATTTTTCTTAATAAGAGGAATTCATATGGATCAGCTAGAAAAAAAATTAAGAGGAAAATCACATGGAAAATTATTATATATTATATATCTATTATATATATTATATATCTATTATATATATTATATATCTATTATATATATTATATATCTATTTTATATATATTATATATTATATATCTATTATATATATTATTATATATTATATATCATTTCCAAATTCCCCAGCGTTCATATTTGTCAGTGCAAGTAAAGAGCCTTAGTGCTGATTAGGTTTGAGGTATGACCATTTGGCCAGAATTTATGAACTCTACATGTCGCTTGATGTGTGCTTCAGGGTACTTTTTTTTTTTTGAGACGGAGTCTTGCTCTGTCGCAGAGGCTGGAGTGCAGCGGTGCGATCTCAGCTCACCGCAAGCTCCATCTCCCGGGTTCACGCCATTCTCCTGCCTCAGCCTCCTGAGTAGCTGGGACTACAGGTGCCCGCCACTATGCCCTGCTAATTTTTTGTATTTTTAGTACAGACGGGGTTTCACCGTGTTAGCTAGGATGGTCTCGATCTCCTGACCTCGTGATCCACCCGCCTCGGCCTCCCAAAGTGCTGGAATTACAGGTGTGAGCCACCACGCCCGGCCAGGGTACACTTTTAAGCAGAGACACTACTTTGAAGGTCATAAAAAATATAATAAGAGATAAAGCTAATTTCCTTTAATAATAATAATAATAAATTCCTTTAATAAAAATATAAAGGAATAATATAATAATTTTCTTTAATAAAATATGAGATAAGGCTAATTTCCTTTAATAAAATATAGTAACTGCATACCAACACAGAATTCCAAAAAAAGAAATGGAGAGGAAGGGAGCATGGGTCATTAATCTTGTCAAAAATATAAAATTATATACGAGGAATTCCTAGAAACTGTTTTCCTTGTCTGCGGCCATTGTGCTGCTGCTACACAACTACCGCAAGCAGCCCTTCACGCCCTCCTCCCAGTACAAAGCTAATTGACTTGTGAGAAATGTTAAGCTTGGAAGAGTCAGCATCGCTGCACTTATTTTTTATTCTACTCTGACATTAGAATAATCCTTGAGTGGGGGAAAGGTTAAAACCCCCCCTGGATAAGTGTTACTAATTAATGATGATTGTTTTAAACAATGTTTGGATAATTTTTCCTTGTCCCTTGACATAAACTTGATAAATAACTGAGAAGTGAGGAGATTAGTGGGTTGATTAAATTCCATTCAGGTACTTAAAGTTAGCTCCAAAAATTTAGCTATTTATAAATTGTCATGCATTGTTAATGTATAAGAGATGTAGATTTCATTTATCTTTGGTGGAGCGAGATGAAGCAGTGAATCATTGAAGACTGAAAGAAAGAAAAAGGTCTTTTCCCTTTTCTTTAAGAAGCATCATTAGTTAAAAACATGTTAGTTGATACCAGAGAACTATATTTAAAGGGACAGCAATAAGCAAATTGATTACTCTGGTGATTATTGGAGTGACATTGCCTTTTAGTTGTACTTTCACAAAAATTCACAATATTTGCCAAAGTCAAATTATCCATTACACTATTAATTTGTCATTCTTTTGTTTATATAGTCAATATCTCTATCTCAATTGGATCTATCTCAACTGCTTCTAAACAAGCCACCATAGTCTCTCCCATTTCAACAATCTCTTCCAAGTACCATTTCATTTCTTCTTTTCATATTTTTGAAAACTTTTGAAAAACTACCTATTTTCCTCCTCCATTTCTTGTTCATTCCATTCTAGTGGACATGGAATCTGTTCCTCCTCCAAAACGGAATTTGGTAACCCTTAAATTACTAAACCCAAAACAATATGTTGTTTTTATCTTTACCTCTCTGTGGCATTTAATGATAAGACCACTACTTTCTTCTCTTTTACCCTTCTTTCTTGAATTCAAACAACGTACTTACTTTTTTCGTCTTATTCTCCATCTTAGAAACCACCTCAGCTTTCTCCATTCAGCCATAAAATTGTGCTTTTCCTCAAAGATTAATCTACCTCTCCTCTCACTCTATACTATCTCTGTTAGCTAATTTTATTTGTGCACATTGCTTATACTGGGCATTATATACACATATGCATGTGTGTACATGTGCACACACACACTGTATGTGGACATGTATATATATGTGTGTGTGTATATATATATAGTATATACATAAATTACAATAACAAAGGTGGCATTTTAAATTAGTGGAAATTACCCTGATTTGATCACTACACATTCTATACATGTAAAGAAATATCACTCTGTATCCCAAGAATATGTACAATTATGGTTTGTCAAATGAAAAAGTTCATACATTGAAAAATTTTAGATAAATATCAAACTTTCTCTGAAACTGTAACTGTAAAATGTAAAAAACAGTAATTGCTATATTGCTTATTTCTGAGAAGAATATGAGACATTTCCCTAATCATTATGTGTAATTACAATTACATATATGTTTATATATTACATACATATATATATGTAATTGTAATTACACATAATGATTAGGGAAATGTCTCATATTCTATATATATAGACAGAAAGAGAGAAAATATATGAGGGAGAGAAAGAATCTTTCCATCTCCTTTGAGTTCCACGGTGTTGAGAGTCACGACAACTACAATTGCTTCATCATGCCTGCTTGCAATTATAGGGCTTTTGAACCATTTGTTCCCTCCTTAGATATCCTCATTTTTTTCAGATTCTTGCTTAGAAGTCACTCCTCCGTGGAACTCCTCTGACATATTAAACATTGCAGTCCATTATAAGCTGCAAGAGGACAGGGATTTTTGCCTGTTTTATTCCCTACTGTATCACCAGGGGCTACAGCAATCTCTGACAAACAGTGGGCATGTAATGAGTATTTGTTAAGTGAAGTAATAAATTCAATCAAATCACATCACCTGTTTAAAGCACTTCATTGGCTTCACATTGCACTTAGAATAAAGAGAAATTCTTTTTATACAATATAAGTTCCTGCAGAATGCAGACACTTTCTACTTCTCCAGCCTCTTTTCAACTCCTCTCCTACTAGCTTCTGTATTTAAGCCACATTAGACCTTTCTTCAGTTTTTTATATAGACTTTGTTGCATCACACCTCAGAGATTCTGTACATGTTCTTCCTCCTGCCTAGAAAGGATCGTCCCTCCACTTTCGCCAACTAATCCCTGCTCAACTTTTCGTCTCAGCAGGAGGCCCATTCTCTTTGGCAATCCTCTGGCCTCCAGCCCATTTATTATATGCTCACATGTCAACATGTACTTCGTACAGCATGTAACACAATTGCACTTTTATATTTTAACAAATTATATTTCCCATATTGAATTGTAAGTCTCCTGAAAGGAGGAATTTTGTTCTTGCTCATCATCAACTTTTTCAACATCCAGTGCACCATTTAGAACTTAGGTGTAGTCAATACAGGTTTGTGGAATGAAAGAGGAAAAGAAAGAATTAATATTCCTTTAAATTAGGATGGCAAAGATCGTATATAGAAAATTGGCTAAGTTGTGGTCCATTCATGTTTGCTCCCAATTAAGGAGCACAGCTATGAAAAGGAAGGCTTCAAATTAATAACCAATAGATTTTTTAAAAAAGAAAACTGGCCAGGTACTGTGGCTTATGTCTGTAATATCAGCATGTTGGGAGGCCAAGGCAGGATTACTTGAGCCCAGAAATTCCAGACTAGCCTGAGAATTTGGCAAAACTCTGTCTCTACAAAAAATACAAAAATTAGCCAAGTTTGGTGGCATGTGCCTGTAGTACCAGCTACTTGGGAGGCTGAGGTGGAAGAATAGCTTGAGTCTGGGAGGTCAAGGCTGCAATGAGCTGTGATCGCACCACTGCACTCAAGCCTGGGTGGTAGAGTAAGACCCTGTCTCAAAAAAAAAAAAAAAAGAAAAATCACTAAGCAAAATAAGACATGTGAAGGATCATGTCAAAGTTAAGAAAAATTAGGGGAACATTAAAAGCTTTCTTCCCAAGCCACTAAATCAACTTGACTAACAAAATTACCACTTGATTTAGCATTAGAAAATTACATTACATATCAAACATAAACCCATTAATCAAATACTAAAGAAATTTCTGAGTTAAATGGTATAATGTTAGCTTATGCCAGAGCTGACCTTGAAAGATTGTTCAAATATGGCTCAGTGTGATTGAAAGTTCTGTGTGAATATGTTTTTGGAAAGATCCAACAGCAACACCTTAGTGTATGTTTTTGAAGTAAAATGTATCTGAGTAGCAGCAAAGTTATTCTCAAATTTCCATTTTATAGCTGGAGATGTTATACCGTGACATATATGATAGGACCCAATATGGATTAATCCCTTTTAGAACTCAATCAGGAAGAGGGGAGCAGTTAAAACAGTTGCTTGGTTTACAAACAGTACAACAATTTTCTTATTCACACCATCTGATTATTGTATTTTATTTTTTCCCCAATGTTTAGACTACACAATGAGTTAAGAATGATAAAAATAAGCTCACCAATATACTATGTACATATTTACCAAAATCTGTGCATGCCTATACATATAAACACAGCTGATAATTTATTAGTTAGGCTCATTTGTAATTTTTGTCACTATAGACCAGTTTTTTATTTAAATTGAAGATTAGTATACATTTTAAATGATTAGTCAAAATAAAAAATTTAAAATGTGCTCTAAATACCTCTTAGGTCAGAAAAAAAAAGTCAAAACTAGAATATAGAGAAATTAAGAAATGCCCTAAATTTCTAATCTGACAAAAATTCATACAAGATTTAAATATTTTAATGGAAAATAGAACAGAACTAATCATTGAAGAAATTATAGAAAGGAAACAAAATAAACAGATTATATGGAGGATTTTTAGAAGATAAGTAAATAATATACTAGGAAAAAACAAGGGAAATATAATTGATAAATAAATACAGGTAAGAGTTCTTTTGAAATAATGATAAAATAGAAAATGTCAAAACTAAAAGGAAAGATGCATAAACATATAAATAAATGATAAAAAGATGTTGCATACATATATGACTTTTTCAGAATCAAAAAATTTAAATTTCTGTAATAAAATGTAAATGTTTATAAATTTAAAAAACTAGAAGAATGTTGACTGTTCACAATACAAATAAATGACAAATATTTGAGGTGATGGATATGCTAATTATCCTTATTTGATCATTGGACATTGTATACATGTATCAAAATATCACTCTGTATCCCATGAATATGTACAATTATTTGTCTCAAAAACAAACAAAAAAGATAATGGGAGAATGTTGAAAACTCAGAGAGAAGAGCAACTCTCACAGATAGGGATCCAGATAACATTAGCAGCTGATTTCTCGGCAGAAACCTTGAAGGCCAGTAGGCAGTGGATTATATATTTAAAATAATGAAGAAACCTGTCAATTGAGAAATCTATAGCTGGAAAACTTATCCTTCAAAAATGAGGAAGAAATTAAGACATTTCCGGATTTTTTTTTAAAACTGAAAAAAATCCATTTATCCCTGAATTTGCCATTCAAGAAGTGTTAAGTCCTTCAGGTTGAAATAAATGAACTCTAGGCAATAACTATAAAAGTAAATAAGCAAGCTGTATGAATATACAAAGCTCTCTGGTAAAGGTAAATACATAAACAAATATAAAAACAGTCCTATTGTAATTTTGGTTTGTAACTCTGCTTTTTATTTTCTACATAATTTAAAAGGGAAATGCATAAAATGTAATTGTAAATCTGTTAGCTGGTATACAATGAATAAAGATATAATTTGTTACATCAATAACATAAAAAGAGTAGAGCTATATATATAGCAGTAGAATTTTGGTATGTGATTGAACTTAAGTTGAATAAATTCAAATTAAAATGTTATAACTCTAGGATGTTATATGTAATTCTCATAGTAACCAAAAACGAAATATACATAGAATATAAACAAAAGGAAATGAGACTAGAAACAAAATGTCACTACAAAAAAATCAACTAAAGATAAAAAAGAAATAATTGAGAAAATGATTGGCAAAAATCAGTAACTCTGACGTATTAAAACTTTCCATGCTACATAAATCTGAAAACTCTATTTCACATAAAACTGGAGCTGAACGAGACAAATATTTACCTATAAAGTTAAAAGTTATATAGGGAACAAACACTAATTTTTTTTAGAAAAAATTATAAAAAGAGTAAAAATATGCCTTATACTACCCTAATTTCATGTTTTACAGCTCTGGGAAAATACAAAATAAAATGTTCTATTAGCATGAATCCCCCTGTGCCCCCAAAAAACCCTACGGATTGCATCATTATTACCTAAAAAGTCTATTCTCAAATGCAGCAGAGTGATATTTTTTACAAGGTAGATATTAATTTTAGATATGGAATAATATTGGTGATTTCAATTTTATAACACTGGGTTAAGATGAAAGAATGAGAAGATAAAGGTCCCTCAGCAATATAACTCACAAACATGATCAGAAGCAGTAAGAAGTTACATTAATTATCTTTTGAAAGTCAATAATCTACATCTTTAATGTATGCATATAGCACAGCTAATGTACTATCGCTGGGTCCATTTATTCAATGAATAATTGCCGCTATGTGTCAGACATTTTTCTAGGCCTAGGAATGGATACATAAGTGAACAAAGCAAAGATTCTGGTTCTTGTAGAGTTTCCATTAAAAGACCATTTAGTAAAACTTTTCTTCCCCCAAATTATAAAATCTGTAAGATGATTTAACAACTTGTGTAAAAGTCATTGTGGGCCAGGCACGGTGGCTCATACCAGGTGTGGTGACTCATAGCACTCTGTCACCCAGGCTGGAGTGCAGTGGCACAATCTCTGCTCACTGCAACCTCTGCCTCCTGGGTACAAGCGATTCTCCTGCCTCAGCTTTCTGAGTAGCAAGGACTACAGATGCACACCATCACGCCTGGTTAATTTTTGTACTATTAGTACAGACGGAGTTTCACCATGTTGGCCAGGCTGGTCTCGAACTCCTGACCTCAAATGATCCGCCCACCTCGGCCTCCCAAAGTGCTGGAATTACAGATGTGAGCCACAATGCCCGGCCTGATTTTCTACAACTTGGTAACTTTAGTATATACCCCAAATCTGTAAGACATAATATTATAATTCAAATGCAACTCATGGCTTCTCATTGTACTCTTTCTCTAGCTTTTGAATTATTTATTCTAATACCAGTTTTAATTCTGACACAAAAGCATGGGAGTTCTAATCAAAATCCAACCTTTTATCATAAAAACTATGAAGAAATTATGAGTAGAATTTAAAAAGGAAAATAGGCCTATTAATTAGATTTGTCTTTGTAGCATTTAACTCTATAATAAATAGCATAATATTTTATGCCTATGAGTCCCCAACAAAGCCTCCAGCTTCTATTTAGATATAAAATGTAAAAGTCACTACTGGATCCACAAGCAAGACTATGGTAAAGAAATTTCTCCACCTAACCAGCTTCTTTTACATGATGTTACGTTTCTTTTGTTTTTTCATTTTGGCAAATATTGATTGTCATCTTCGTGTTTGTCTATGTCCTAAGTGCTGGGATACAGAATCTGAAAAGATGGACACAGGACCTGCCTTCAAGTTCACCTTTTTTTTTTTTTTTGAGATGGAGTTTTGCTCTTGTCACCCAGGCTGGAGTGTAATGGTGAGATCTCTGCTCACTGCAACCTCCACCTCCAGGGTTCAAGTGATTCTCCTGCCTCAGCCTCCCAAGTAGCTGGGATTACAGGTCCCAGCCACCACGCCTAGCTAATTTTTGTATTTTTAGTAGAGACAGCGTTTCATTATGTTGGTCAGGCTGGTCTCGAACTCCTAACCTCAGGTAGTCGACCCACCTCGGCCTTCCACAGTGCTGAGATTACAGGCATGAGCCACCACGCCCTGCTAGGAGTTCACGCTTTAGTTGGGGAAAATATACAATAAGCAAGCCAATTTTTAAAATGAGAACTGCAATTAGAGTTAAATGCTACAAAGACAATCTCACAGGAAGATGGGATGTAGAATGATAAGGCTCTCAGAATAGTAAGAGAAACTATTGCTTCTTACGATGTTTGTCTTTCTTTGTATCAGTGCTCAGCTGAGTCTGCAGTGCTTCAGAGGCAGCTTTCATTTTATAAAAATCTATGATTTCTCTTTCCAGTTGTTTTTTCTCTTCCTCGAGCTTCCTTATCTCCTCCTGTTGAATCATTTTAAGATGCTCGAACTTGTCCTGCAGCTGTGAAACCAATGTGCAGTTGTGACACCAAAGCAGTGTGGCTGAACACCCAAAAGAATATGCTTTTTTCTGATTATCAAACAAACCCAAATCATCACAGTAGAGCACGATCTTAATAGCAATCTCAAAAACTCAGGAGTAAACACTCAGATATGGAATTTTTCTTTTCTTTCTTTTTTCCTTTTATAAGATGGAGTCTCACTCTGTTGCCCAGGCTGGAGTGCACTGGTGCGATCTCAGCTCACTGCAACCTCCATCTCCCAGTTCAAGTGATTCTCCTGCCTCAGCCTCTTGAGTAGCTGGGACTACAGGCATGCACCACCACTACAGGCGTGTGCCACCACACCTGGCTAATTTTTGTATTTTTAGTAGAGATGGGGTTTTGCCATGTTGGCCAGGCTGGTCTCGAACTCCTGACCTCAGGTGATCCTCCCACTTTGGCCTCTCAAAGACTTTTTTTTTTTTTTTTAATATAGAGACAAGTTCTCAGTATGTTGCCCAGGCTGGTCTCAAACTCCTGAGCTCAAGTGATCCTCCCACCTCAGCTTCCCAAAGTGCTGGGACTGACTGGATGCAGTGGCTCATGCTCGTAAACTCAGCACTTTGGGAGGCCAAGGTGGGAGGATCGCTTGAGCCCAGGAGTTCAAGACCAGACTGGGTGATATAACACAATAGTAAACTTCAACAGGAGAATCTGTAAACTTGAATATAGATCTTCTGAAATTATCCAGTCAGAGGACAAAGAAAAAAAGAATAAAAAAGAGAAAAGAAGGCTGGGCGTGGTGGCTCAAGCCTGTAATCCCAACACTTTGGGAGGCCAAGGCAGGCAGATTAAGAGGTCAGGAGTTCAAGACCAGCCTGGCCAACATGACAAAACCCCATCTCTACTAAAAATACAAAAATTAGCCGGGTGTGGTGGCACACACCTGTAGTCCCAGCTACTTGGGAGGCTGAGGCAGGAGAATCACTTGAACCCAGGAGGCGGAGGTTGGAGTGCAATGTGAGCCGAGACCACACATTGCACTCCAGCCTGGGTGACAGAGCACGACTCTGTCTCAAAAAAAAAAAAAAGAAAAAAAAAGAGACAGAGAAAAGAAAGCCAACAAGACACCATTAGGCAAACCATTGTCAGGTTATGGGAGTTTGAGAAGGAAAGTAGAGAAAGGAAAAGAAAGCTTATTTAAAGAATGGCTGAAAACTGCCTAAATCATGGGAAAGATTTAGACATCTAAATCCATGAAGCTTAAAGATTCCTAAAGAGGTTGAAACCAAATAGATACTCACCAAGTCACAATATAATCAAATAGTCAAAAGTTAAAGAAACTTTGCAGGTCAGGACAGAATCGAATAATACATTCAAAGTGCTGAAAGAAAAAAACTGCCAGCAACTAATACTATGTCTGACAAAGCTGTCCTTCAGAAAGAAAGAAGAAATAATGTGTTTCCTCAACAAACAAAGCTGAGGGCATTCAGGACCACTAGGTCTACCTTAAAAAAATGCTTAATGGAGTTTTTCAAGTAAAAATGAATGAAGTTGGGAGCAGTGGCTCATGCCTGTAATCCCATTTTGGGAGGCTGAGGTGGGTGGATCACCTGAGGATGGGAGGTCAAGACCAGCCTGGCCAACATGGCAAAACCCCACCTCCAGTAAAAATACAAAAAATTAGCCAGGTATGAAGGCCACTGAGATCGTGCCACTGCACTCCAGCCTGGGTGACAAGAGTCAAACTACATTTCAAAAACAAAAAACAAAACAAACAAAAAAAAACAAAACTTGAGGCCTGGCCTTCTGCTCCTCTCCAACCCCCCCTTCTCTGGGCCCAAGCCACCTTGGCTGAGGAGGGGGCGAGGAGGTGAGCCCCTGCCAGGAACCCCCTGCCCGGACCAAGTACTCGGCCCCCAGGCCTGCGTTCAGTGAGGCCTCCCGTGGCGTCAGCATGTTCGTGTGGAGGAATGTGGAAGGTCACTCTGTGGCCGTGTTCCCCTGGTACTCCATCCCCTTCCTGACCCCTCCCTGCAGCCACACGAGGCCCAGCAACCTGCCAGTCACTCAGTGGCCTCCAACCAGAGAAAACAACCTGCCAAGTTGGCAGCTGTTGCTCATGAGCATCCACCAGGTGGGACTGGGAGTGCTGACTCTGGGCGGCCCCCTGGAGCCACCTGCCCTGAAAGCCCAGGGCCCGCAACCCCACACACTTTGGGGGTGGTGGAACCTGGTAAAAGCTCACCTCCCACCATGGAGGAGGAGCCCTGGGCCCCTCAGGGGAGTCCCTGCTGGACAGTGAGACAGAGAATGACCATGATGATGCTTTCCTCTCCATCATGTCTCCTGACACCCCGTTGCCTCTACCACTCAGATGATGTCAGGCCCAGTCCCTCAGTGCCCTGCACAAGGAACAGGACTCATCTTCTGAGAAGGATGGACGCAGCCCCAACAAATGGGACAAGGACCACATCCAGTGGCCCATGAGTGGTGGTCATGATCTTCAGCAAGCGGCACCAGGCCCTGGCAGGGCGCACCAGGGTCACCCCAACCAGGATAACCGGACCGTCAGCCAGATGCTGAGCGAGCGGTGGTACACCCTGGGGCCCAATGAGACGCAGAAATACCACGACCTGGCCTTCCAGGTGAAGGTGGCCCACTTGCAACAAGGACCGAAAGAAGTCCAGCTCAGAGGCCAAGCCCACAAGCCAGGGGCTAGCAGGAGTGTAACAAGGGCTTGTGGGAGCGGAGCATATCAGAGACGGGCACTGCCACTGCCCCTGGGGTGTCCTCTGAACTCCTGTCAGTTGCAGCCCAAACACTCCAGAGCTCGGATACCAAGGAGCAGCTTCTGTGGGGCAGAACGGCTGCACACAGTCAGGGAACCTGGCTCAGCCTGGCCCAAGCCTTCACCCACAGGGGGGTACACAGCCTGGATGGCAGGGAAATAGACCGTCAGGCACTACAGGAACTGACACAGGTGGTGTCTGGCACTGCATCATACTCTGGCCCAAAGGCTTCTACTCAGTATGGAGCTCCAGGCCACTTTGCAGCCCCTGGTGAGGGAGGTGACCAGTGGGCAGCCCTGCTGCTGCCCACCTGAGCTGCTCATTCCCAGCACATGGCCAGTGTGGACATAGCGAGTGACGAGGAGCACACGGTCATCCATGAGGAGGAGGGGGTGATGATGTCATTGCTGATGATGGCTTTAGCACCACTGACACCGATCTCAAGTTCAAGGACTGGGTGACCGACTGAGAGTGGGGACAACTCTGGGGAGGAGCCAGAGGGCAACAAGGGCTTTGGTGGGAAGGTATTTGCACCTGTCATTCCTTCCTCCTTTACTCCTGCTGCCCCTTGCTGGATACTGAGCCCCCAGGGTCCCCCGATCCACCTGCAGCTTTTGGCAAAGTCTATGGTCCCACCCTGTCCTCCTCCTACACATACTCGGATGCTTCCTCCTCAACCTTGACACCCACCTCCTTCTTACTGGGCCCAGGAGCCTTCAAAGCCCAGGAGTCTGGTCAAGGCAGCAGAGCGGGCCCCCTACGGCCCCTACCCCTGGGGATGGGGGCCCAGGGACACCTTCCAAGGCGACCTGTTTCCTCCCAATGGATCCTGCCACCTTCTGGTGCAAAAGACCTGAAAGTGTGGGCGACCTGGAGCTACCAGGCTCCTCAGTCATCAGGGTCCCTCCCAACACTAAGGCTTTCCTAGGCAGGAGCTGGGCTGAGCCACCCAGGGGGCAGAGCCTGAAGAGAAACTGACTGGGCTTTCGGGGTCGGGGCAGAGGGAACCCCACGGACATGGATCCCACACTGGAGGACCCCACCACACCCAAATGCAAGATGAGAAGATGCTCCAGCTGCAGCCCAAAGCCCAACACCCCCAAGTGTGCCATGTGTGATGGGGACAGCTTCCCCTTTGCCTGTACAGGTGGAGAAGCCGAGGACAGGCTCAGGGAACCGGAGACCGAGAAGGTGCTGTCCTCTTCACTGCACGCGCCCTGGACCAGTGCCGGCCCTGATCATGCAGCTCTTCCAGGCCCACTGCTTCTTCCTGTCCACTAGGCCACAGCCGCCCACCAGGCCCACTATGCACACATCTTCCCCTCCAAGGTTTGTTCTGCCCCTGCCCTGACTCCCAGCCCTGTGGGGGTCCTGACCGGACCTCACCTGGCTCAGACTCTTGACGCTGCCCTGGCTGCCCCACCACTGTCTCTGCCCGAGAGTCACGTCAGGCTGAGAGTAGGGGCAGGGGCAGCAGTGGTGCCAGTTGGGTGACGGTCCAGTGGGAGGAGCCTCAGCCTCGCGGGCTGCTCTGTGGGACTGATGACTGCATGATCTTCTGGGCACCTCACTGATCTTCAACTGCAGGTGAAACGGATGCTGGTGGTGGGTGCAGGGCCACTGGGAGCCGCTGCATGGTTCCCAGAGGCTGGACTGGGGCAGGTGCCAACTGAAGCTGCTGGGGCAACATGGGCAGGATGTTCTGCACACAAACCTTGGAGAAGAAGATGTGTGCATAGCGGGTCCACTGCTGCTGCCCCTGCCCTGACTCCCAGCCCTGCCTGACCCCACCTCACCCTGCTCAGGCTCTGGCGCAACCCTGGCTGCCCTGCCACTGCCTCTGCCCCAGAGCTGGGGCCTTGACAGCCTGGTTGGAAGGGGACACCCCAGCCCTGCCTCAACACCTGGGGGTCTCCATAACTACCACAGGCAGGTGGGCGACCCCAAAGAAGATCCCAGGACTCACAGTACCCCCTGAGAACATGGACAGTATGTGGGGGTAGCAATGGAGGGCAGGATGGTTATCTTCTCCCAGGTAAAGCCATTTAATCCTTTCAGTTTGGGACGGAACAAGGCCTGCTTTTTTTTTTTTTTTTTTTTTTGAGACCGAGTCTTGCTCTGTTGCCCAGGTTGGAGTGCAGTGGTGCGATCTTGGCTCACTGCAACCTCTTCCCGCCGGGTTCACGCCATTCTCCTGCCTCAGCCTTCCGGGTAGCTAGGATTACAGGTGCACGCTACCACGTCTGGCTAATTTTTGTATTTTTAGTACAGATGGGGCTTCATCATCTTGGCCAGGCTGATTTCGATCTCCTGACATCATGATCCGCCTGCCTCCCCCTCCCAAAGTGCTGGGATTACAGGCGTGAGCCACCACGCCTGGCCAAGGCCTGCTCCTCTTATCTATACCCCCTACCCCTGCAGCTGTGCCGGGGGAAAGCTGGGCAGTTTCCCTCCTCCGAGCCCCTGTATGTACCATGAATTGTGGGACCTTCAGAGCTTTTCACTTTTTGGAAAATAGCTCCTGCTGGGGCTTCAAGATGGAGTGTGAAGAGAGCCTTGGGCCACAGGGAGGTGCCTGTGGACTAGGGGGAGTTCATGCACCCCTTCTTTCCCCAGAGGGGCTGGACTCAGGTGAGTATGGGGGTGGGGGCTCCTACACTTCGACACAGGCAGCGGGAGGGTTTTCTCCCCATTCCCTCTGCACTCCCAACTTGAGCTATACTTTTTAAGAAAGTGATTCACCCTGCCTTTGCCCCCTTCCCCAGAACAGAACACGTTGATCATGGGCGATATTTTTCACTGTGCCAAAAAGTTGCCATGACCGTCATTAAACCTGTTTAACACTAAATAATAAGGAAAATAAAATAAAAAATTCTGGCATGGTGCAGAAACTCACTCCAAATAAATTACCTACCAAAATATATAATGGTGGAAATATTCCAAAATTCCATATTTTGGGATTTATACACAAAAGATAAACAAATTAGAGGCCAAGAGGCTGCCGGAAGGGAAAAACGGGGCCTGGGAAGGCCGTTGTGAGGAATGAGCTGGGCCTAAAGAGGCCACTGGCAGGCAGGAGCTGGACCTGCTGAAGTGGCCGAAAGGCAGGAGCTTTGGACTGGGGAGGCCACAGTGAGGCGAGAGCTAGCTGGGCGTGGAGAGTCCGCTGTGAGGCCGAGGCCGAGGCCGGGCCCGTGCAGGCCTTTGAGAGGCAGGAGGCCGGGCCTGCAAAGGCCGACTGGAGGTCAAGTTCTGGGCCTGAAGAGGCCGCCAAAAGTCAAAAGCGGGACCTGGGAAGGCCGCTGAGAGCCATGAGCTGGGCTGGGCTGAAAGAAGCCACTGGGAGGCAGGAGGAGCTGGGCCTGGAGAGGCTGACTCGAGGAACTTTTGCACCCGGAGAGGCCGCCAAGAGGCCGGAGCTGGGCCCGGGGAGGCCGACTTGCTCTCTTCCAGGCCCAATTCCAGGCTGACTTGAGGATGACTTGGGCCTGCAGAGGCCGCCGGGAGGCCGGAGCTGGGCCTGGAGAGGCCGACTTCAGGACGATTTGGGCCTGCAGAGGCCGCCAGGAGGCCCAAGCTGGGCCTAGAGGAGCCCACCAACCGGAGGCCGTTTGGGGCCTGCAGATGCCATCAGAGGGCAGGAGCTGGCCTGGAGAGGCCACCGTGAGGCCTGAGCTGGGCCTGGGGAGCTTGGCTTCGGGAAGCTGTGGGCCTACCAGGGCCGCTGGGAGCTGGGCAGGAGCTGAGTCCAAAGACGTTGTTGGGAGGCCAAAGTCGGGCCTGGAGACGCAGCCGGGAGGAAGAGCTGGGCCCGGAGAGGATGCCGGGAGGCTGCAAGTGGGTCTGGAGAGGCCGACTTGAGGAGGTTCTGGGCCCGGAGAGGCCGCCGGAAGGGAAAAACTGGGCCTGGAAAGGCTGTTGTGAGGAATGAGCCCCATGGGCCTGAAGAGGCCACTGGCAGGCGGGAGCTGGGCCTGCCGAAGCGGCCGAGAGGCAGGAGCTTTGGACTCGGGAGGCCGCAGTGAGGCGAGAGCTAGCTGGGCGTGGAGAGTCCGCTGTGAGGCAGAGGCTGGGCCTGTGCAGGCCTTCTGGAGGCAGGAGGCCGGGCCTTGTCGAGGCCTGCAGAGGCCACCGAAAGTCAAAAGCGGGGCCTGGGAAGGCCGCCGGGAGGCATGAGCTGGGCTGGGCCGAAAGAGGCCACTGGGAGGCAGGAGGAGCTGGGCCTGGAGAGGCTGACTCGAGGAACTTTTGCACCCGGAGAGGCCGCCAAGAGGCCGGAGCTGGGCCTGGGGAAGCCGACTTGAGAACGACTTGGGCCTGCAGAGGCCGCCGGGAGGCAGGAGCTGGCCCTGGACAGGCCGACTTGACGACAGTCTGGCCCTGCAGAGGCCGCCGAGAGGAAGAGCTGGGCCTGGAGAGGCCGACTGGAGGAAGTCCAGGGCCTGGAGAGGATGCAAAGCAGCAAACGCTAGGCCTGGAAAGGCTGCCCTGAGGCACGGGCTTGGTCTACAGAGGCCACTGGGAGGCAGGAGCTGGGCCCGCAGAGGCTCCCGAGAGGGAGGAGCATTGCCCCAGGAGGCCACGGTGAGGAAGAGGTGGGCCTGGAGAGCCCACTGTGAGGTAGAGGCCGGGCCTGTAGAGGCCGCCGACAGGCAGGGGATGGGCCTGTTGAGGCCACGAGAGGCATGAGCTGGCCCTCAACAGGCCAGTGTGAGACAGGAGCTGACACTTGGGCAGGTTGCAAGAGGCATGAGTTGGGCTGAAAGAGGCCACCGTGAGGGAGGAGCTGAGCCTGTACAAGCTGCCAAAAGGCAGCAGCAGCTTTGGACTGGAGAGGCCGCAGACAGGGAAGAGCTGGGTGTGGAGAGTCTGCTGTGAGGCAGAGGCTGGGCCTGTACATGCCCTCGGGAAGCAGGAGGCTGGGCCTGGAGAGGCCGACTTGAGAAAGTTTTGCTCCTGGAGAGGCCACTCAGAGGCAAGAGCTGGGTGTGAAGAGGCTGACTTGAGGTCGATTTTGGCCAGCAGAAGCCACTGGTAGCTAAGAGGTGGCCCTGGAGAGGCAGACCTGAGGACAATTTTGGCCTGTAGAGGCCACTGGGAGGGAGAGCTTGGTCTGGAGAGGCCAAGTGGAGTAAGTTCAGGGCTTGGAGAGGATGCACAAAAGGAAACGCTCAGCCTGGAAAGTGTGCTGTGAGGCATTAGCTTGGCCTACACAGCACTTGGAGGCAGGAGCTGGGCCTGCAGAGGGTGACTTCAGGATGATTTTGGCCTGCAGAAGCCTTTGGGAGGAAGAGCTTGGCCTGGACCGGCTGACTGGAGGAAGTTTTGGGACTGGAGTATGCGTCAAAAAGCAAAAGTTAGGCTAGGAAAGGCCACTTCGCGGCATGATCTTGGCCTACAAAGGCAATTGCGAGGCAGGAGCTGGGCCTGTAGAGGCTGCTGAAAGGCAGGAGCTTGGCCTTAGGAGGCTATGATCAGGCAAGTGGTGGGCCTGGAGGGTCTACTGTGTGGTAAGAGTCTGGGCCTGTGTAGGCCGACATGAGGCAGGAGCTGAGTTAGGAGAGGCCAACTTTTGGAGAATTTGGGCCTGCAGAGGCTGCCAGGAGGCAAGAGCTGTACCTGGAGAGTCCATCTTTTAGCATGAGCTGGGCCTAAAGAGACCATTGTGAGGCAGCACCTGCCTGGGAGGCAGGCAGATTCGTGGCCTGGGGAGGCCACCGTGAGGCAAATGCTCAGTTTTCGGAGGATGCCATGAGGCAGGGAGAAACTTGGCTTTCGGTGGCCGCAGTGAGGGAATAGTTTGATTGCTGAGGCTGCTGGGAGGCCGAAGGTGGCTGGAAAGCTTTACTTTAAGAAGTCTGTGGCCTACAGAGGCTGCCAGCAGCTCAGCAGGAGTTGGGCCAAAAGAGGTTGTTGTGAGGCAGGAGACGGGCCTGTAGACGCACTGGGAGGATAAGCTCGTCCTGGAGATGCCGAGTTAAGGACATTCTGGGCCTGGACAGGCTGCAAAAGGCAAAAGCTGTGCCTGGAAAAGTCGCCATGCGGCATGAGCTTGGCCTAAAGAGGCCACTGCAAGGCAGGAGCTGGGCCTGTAGAGGCTGCCGAAAGGCAGGAGCTTCGCCTGAGGATGCCACAGTGAGACACCATCTGGGTCTGGAGGGTCCACTGTGAGGCAGAGGCTGGCCTGTAGAGTCCGACAGTAGACAGAAGTTAGGCAAAAGGCTGATTTGAGGAAGTTTTGGGCTTCAAGAAAGAGTCAGCCAGGAGGCAGGCACTAGGCCTGGAAATGGCCCGACAGTCATGAGTGGGGCCTAAATGGGCCACTGTGAGGGAGGAGCTGTGCCTGTTGAGGCTGCTGGCAGGCAGGAAGAAATTTGGCCTGGGGCAGCTGCCATGAGGCAAGAGCTGGGCTTGGAAAAGCCCCTGGGAGGCAAGAGCAGGGCCTGCAGAGGCTGTTCTCAAGTCAAAGCTGGGCCTGTTCATGCCACCAGGAAGCAGAAGGTGGGCCTGGAGAGTATGACCTGAGGAAGTTTTGGGCCTACATTGGCCGCCATGAACTGGACAGGAACTGGGCCAAAAAAGGCTGTTGTGAGGCAGCAGTTGTGCCTGTAGACTCAGCCAATAGGAAGAGCTGGGCCCGGAGAAGCCCCCATGAGGCAGAGGTTGGGCCTGTAGATGCTGACAGGAGGCAGGAGCTGGGCCGGGAGAGGTCAACTTGAGGAGATTTTGGGCCTTCATAGGCCACCAGGAGGCAGCAGTTGGGACTAGAGAGGCTGACTTGAGTAAGTTTTGGGCCCGGAGATGACGTTCTGGGACAGGAGCTGTGCCTGGAGAGGTCACCGTGAGGCATGAGCTGGATGTAGAGAGGCCAGTGTGAGGCAAGACCTGGGCCTGTCTAGGCTGCTGGGAGACACGCAGGAATCTGGCCAGGGAAGGTTGCCATGAGACGAAAGTTGGGCCTGGAAAGGCCCTTGTGAAGCATGA
Organism: Homo sapiens; assembly: GCF_000001405.40. Classification (NCBI taxonomy): domain Eukaryota; kingdom Metazoa; phylum Chordata; class Mammalia; order Primates; family Hominidae; genus Homo; species Homo sapiens. The sequence goes on along the minus strand of NC_000004.12, from coordinate 118,630,919 downwards.
GCTTGGCCTAAAGAGGCCACTGGGTGGCAGGAGCTGGGTGTGTAGAAGCTGCTGAAAGGTTGGGAGCTTGGCTTGGGGGGTCCACAGTGAGGCAGATGCTGGGCCTCAAGAATCTGCTATGAGGCAGATGTTGGGACTGTAGAGGCCGACGGGAGGCAGAGGCTGGGCCTGGAGGGGCCACCAAGATGCAGGAGCTGGGCCTGGAGAGGCTGCAAAGAAGCATGAGCTGGGCCTGGTGAGGTCGACTTCAGAAAGTTCAGGGCCTGGAGAGAAGGCTGGGAGGCAGGAGCTGGGTCTAAAGAGGCCATTGTAATGATGGAGCTGTGCCTGTGGAGGCTGTTGTGAGGCAGTAGGCTCATCTGCGGAGACTGCCGTGAGGTAGGGTATGGGCCTAAATAGGCCATTGTGAGTCATGAGCTTGGTCTGTAGAGGCTGACTGGAGAAAGTTCTGGGCCTGGAGAGGCTGCCGGGTGGTAGGAGCTGGGCCAAAAGATTTAAGCACATTTACATTTATTAGGCACTTCATTTCCATTATTACACTGTAATATCTAATAAAATAATTATAGAACTCACCATAATGTAAAATCAGTGGGCGTGTTAAGCTTGTTTTCCTGCAACTGGATGGTCCCACCTGAGCGTGATGGGAGAAAGTGACAGATCAATAGGTATTAGATTCTCATAAGGACAGCGAAACCTAGATCCCTCACATGCACGGTTCACAACAGGGTGCGTTCTCCTATGAGAATCTAATGCTGCTGCTGATCTGAGAAGGTGGAGCTCAGGCAGGAATGTGAGCAAAGGGGAGTGGCTGTAAATACAGACGAAGCTTCCCTCACTCCCTCACTCGACACCACTCACCTCCTGCTGTGTGGCTCCTTACAGCTCCATGGCTCAGGGGTTGGGGACCCCTGCTCAAGTGCATCCTAAGCGACCCTTCCCACACCAGTCTTCATAGTGGTCAAGTGCAGCAACCACTTAGCTCCCAAGGCATGTGCCTCAGCTGGCATTTCATCACAATCAACAGTAAGTGCTAGCCTGAGTCATTGTGAGGTCACTTCCTGGAAATCACCAGCATCCCATTTCCTACTGGCAAAGAGCTCAGCACTGCCCCCTGGGAAACCAAACCTATGCCCAAATCCCATCTGTGTGGGTTTATCTCCTGGGACCCTTCCTAACATATTAGTCAGAGTCCAATCAGGAAGCATAAACCACTCAAAAGTTTAAAGTGGTAAAATTTAATACGGAGAATTATTCATTATAACAGGTGAACAGCATAATGAGAGACTGGCTAGCACAAAGTAAAGAGAACTCTAGAGAATACAGGACTAGCCCAGGCCAGGCATGGTGGCTCATGCCTGAAATTCCAGCAATTTGAGAAGCTAATGCAGGAGGATTGCTTAAGCCCAGGAGCTAGAGACCGGTCTGGACAACACAGTGAGACCGTCTCTATCCAAAAAAAGAAAAAAGTTAGCTGAGAGTGGTGGTGCACACTTGTAGTCCCAGCTACTCGGAACGCTGAAGTTTGAGCCTGGGAGGTCAAGGCTGCAGTGAGGCATGATTATGCCACTACAGTCCAGCCTGGTGACAGAGCAAGACCCTGTCTCAAAGAACAAAACAACAACCACCATTTACAGACAGAAAAGAGATAGAGCTAATAAGCTAAGGAAAGATGTTGAAATGTGACAAGTAAAGTAATATGAGGTCTTTTATCTATTTAAAATAATCAAACAAAAAATGACTTACTAAATTATAATACCCTGTGCTGGCAAAGGTGCAGTGAAATGGGCACTTTCTTATACTATGAGGGGTGTTTAAATTGTGTATAAGCCTTCCCGGGTAAAGCTTGTCAATTTCTGAAAATAATGGAGACAGGGTCTCACCATATTGCCATACTGCCTCCTCCAACTCTTGGCCTCAAGCACTCCTCCTCTCTTAGCCTCCCAAAGTGCTAAGATTATAGGCTGGGAGGCACCCAAAACCCTGTCAATTTACATCAAGGGTAATGAGAATGTCCATTCACCATGTCTCACAGTAATCTTACTTCTGGGGAGACAATTCAATCTAAACAAAAGGTCATCTGTACAAACACAGTAAAAATCTGGGAGTAACTGAAGACAGAGTTGGTAAGTGAAATAAGAAACAGTTATAAGAAATTAAACTATGATATCAATAGGCACCTGGTATAAAAGGTCAGTTAATGTTAGCTGCTACTTTTTTGTTGTTTTGAGACAGGGTCTCACTCTGTCACCCAGGCTGGAGTGCAGAGGCCTGATCATGACTCACTGCAGTCTCAGCCTCCCTGGGCTCAAGTGATCCTCCCACCTCAGCCTCCCAAGTAGCTGGGACTACAGGAACATGCCACCACACTAAGCTAATTCATGTATTTTTCTGTAGGGATGGTGACTCCCCCTTTGTTTCCAAGGCCTATCGCAAACTCTTGGCCTCAAGCCATCCTCCTGCCTCAGCCTCCCAAAGTGTTGCAATTACCAGTGTGAGCCACCACACCTGGCCAGCTGCTACTTTTAGCAATATTATTATTATTCCACTCAATTAAAAATTATTATTTTCAAGGCTATGCAACAGTATGTATCCTACAGCGTAATTGTAAAAACATATACAGTCGTCGTCCCTCAGTATACAGAATTAGTTCCAGCCCCCCATCTCTGCATATACCAAAACCCATGCTTACTCACGTTTTGCTGTCACCCCTCTGGAATCCACTTATATGAAAATTCCAAATATTAGTTGGGCATGGTGGCAAGCACCTGTAGTCTCAGCCACGTGGGAGGTTGAGATGGGAGAATCACTTCAGCCTGGAAGGTTGAGGCTGCAGTCAGCTGTGATAGCACTACTACACTCCAGCCTTGGACAACAGAGGGAGACCCTGTCTCAGAAAAAAAAACAAAACAGGTTAGAAATTGTACTGAGGTCTGTTGGGCAAAATTCCATATAAGCAAAGTATAAATTAATAAAGCAAATCGTGATAAATTAGTACGATTGACTTTCTGGAGTTTCTGACAATAAAAGTAAGGAAAATGCAAAACACAAAGACAGAGAGTAAAAAGAGAAATTAGGAAAGCATTCTACATGTTTAATAGGAAGACGCTGGCCATGGTCGTGCAGCGGCAGTATGTCGTGACATGACATACCTTGGAGAGAAGTTAACAGATGAGGAAGTTGATAAAAATCAGAGAAGCAAAATACTGGTAGTGACACTCAAGTAAACCACGAAATTTCCATAACTTATGTCAGCAAAGTGGGAATATTGTACAGTGTGTGTTGAAGTTCCTATACAACATTGTTTATCTGCCTTTTGTTTGTTTGTAAGGAATGTATATACTAAAAGTTCTTCTTGCTGTCAAAAGAATATGTGTGAATAAGTCATTGTAACTTATTCTTCTGTTTTTCTTTTATCTTCCTGCCATCATCCCACAGCCTTACTTTAGAAATTTTTTCTTTAGAAAATTGAACAAGTGCTCCTTGTGGTGGCACATACCTCTAGGATGGGAGGCAGGGGTGGAAGGGTCACTTGAGGCCATTAGTTTGACACCAGCCTGGCCAACAAAGTGAGACCCCATGTCTACAAAACAATTTAAAAATTAGCCAAGTATCGTCATGTGTACCTACAGTTCTAGCTACTCAGGAGGCTCAGGTAGGAGGATCCTTAGCCCAGGAGTTCAAGGCTGCAGTGAGCTGTGATAGCACTACTGTACTCAAGCCTGGGTGACAGGGTGAGACCCCATCTCCTAAAATAAAAAACAAAGAAAAAAAATAGTTCAAGTAGCAAGTTGTATGTGGCTTACTCTGAATATTTCTAAACTAGAAATTCTCAATCTTTTGGGGTCTAACATCCCTTGACATTTTTTAACTTTATTGAAGATCTCTAAGACTATTTCTTTCTGTAGATAATTATATTAAAACTAGAAAATAAGAAACAATTTTTTAAATATTATTCATCACATATTAAAGCCATTACATGTTGATATAATACAAGATTTTAAAAATATTTAATATTCATTACATATTAATAATAAAACCATGACATGTTGATATAATACTTTTTTTTTTCTTTGAGACAAAGTCTTGTTCTTTCGCCCAGGTGGGAGTGAAGTGGCGCAATCTCAGCTCATTGCAACCTCCGCCCCGCAGGTTCAAGCGATTCTCCTACCTCCGCCTCCCAAGTAGCTGGGATTACAGGCGCCCACTACCACGTCCAGCTAATTATTGTATTTTCTTAGTAGAGAAGGAGTTTCGCCATGTTGGCAAGGCTGGTCTTGAACTCTTGACCTCAGGTGATCCACCCGCCTGGGTCTCCCTAAGTGCTGGGATTACAGGTGTGAGCCACCGCGCCCACCCCGATTAATATATGTTTTAAAACACTGATTAGTCAGGCAACAACACCGGGCAGGGGTCTCCTCATTCCCAGCGACGCAAACCCCACTGCACGGCTGAGGGGTTGCAAGGGCTGCAGAGCCAAAAGGCTCTGACTTGAGATATTATTTTACTTGTATTTTTATTTGTATTGTGAGACAGGTCCTGTCACCCAGACTGGAGTGCAGCTGTGCACTTACAGCTCACTGCAGCCTCGACTTCCTGGGCTCAAGCCATCTTCCTGCCTCAGCTCCCCAGTAGCTGGTAGTACAGTTGAGTGTCACCATGCCTGGTTATTTAATTTTTTTGTAGAGTGAGGGGTCTTGCTATGTTGCCCAAGCTGGCCTCAAACTCCTGACCTCAAGAGATCTGCCCACTTCAGCCTCCTGAGTAGCTGAAACTACAAGTACACATCACCATGCCTAGCTACATTTATTTAATTTTGAAAAATATTTTTGTAAAGAGCAGATCTTGCTGTGTTGTCCAGGCTGGTCTTGAACACCTGCCCTTAAAAGATACTCGCACCTCTGCTTACCAAACAGCTGGGACTACAGGCATGAGCCACTGCAATGAGCCTGAAGAGATTTCTTTAATCTAGCATCCCATACTTGGTAGGACTGGGAAAGGCAGTAGTGTTTTTTAAAATTACTTAATAATTTCAGTAACAATCAAACTCAACCTTGACCCCTGCCTTCTCTCACACCCCATATCCAGTCTGTCAGGAAATCCTGTTGATTGTCTTCGACATCTACTAAAGATCCCCACCCAGCAACTCCCTGGCCTCCTCCCCTAGTTCTCCCCTCTGACCATCTCTCAACACCACCACGACCCTGGTCAGGACCACCATCATCTCCCGCCTGGATGTTGCCAAAGCTTGGCCCCCATGCTTCTATCACATCTTCCCACAGTCTTTCTCAACTCAGCAGCCAGAGAATGCTTTTAAATCGGGAGACAGATCACGTCGCCTCTCTGCTCAGAACCCTCCCGCAGTTCCCATCTGAGTCAGAGTAAAAGCCAAAGCCCCACCAATAACCTCCCAGGGCTTATGTGATCTGTACTGATCCCCACCCAGCAACTCCCTGGCTCCCTCCCCCAATTCTCTCCCTCTCTCCATCTGCTCCATGGGCCTCCTTCCAGAGCCGGAGACACACCTCAGACAGTTTATTCTATTGTTTCTGCCTACAATCCTCTTCCCTCAGCACCTTGGCCAGCTCCTTCCCCTCCTTCAAGTCTTTACTCAATTTTCACTTAGGAGGCCACCCCTGACCATTCTAGTTAACATTGCCATCTGTCCCCATGCCCACCATGCTCATTTCTTCTTTCTTTACTTTCTTCTTTCTTTTTTTCAAGATCTCACTGTCACCAAGGCTGGAGTGCAGTGGCGAAATCACAGCTCACTGCAACCTCAAATTTCCAGGCTCAAGCGATCCTCCCACCTCAGCCTCCCGAGTATCTGGGACTCCAGGTTCATGCCACCATGCCTGGCTAAATTTTTTAGTATTTTATTTTATTTTATTTTATTTTATTTTATTTTGAGACAGAGTTTCACTCTTCTTGCCCAGGCTGTAGTGTAACGGTGCGATCCCGGCTCACTGCAACCTCCACCTCCCAGATTCAAGTGATTCTCCTGCCTCAGCCTTCCAAGTAGCTGGGATTACAGGTGCGTGCCACCACGCCCAGCTAATTTTTTGTATTTTTAGTAGAGCCGGGGTTTCACAATGTTGGCCAGGCTGGTCTCGAACTCCTGACCTCAGGTAATCTGCCCGCTTCGGCCTCCCAAAGTGCTGGAATTATAGGCGTGAGCTACCACGCCTGGCCAATTTTTTCATTTTTTGTAGAGACAAGGTCTTACTATGTTGCCCAGACTGGTCTTGAACTCCTGGCCTCAAGTGATCCTCCTGCCTAAATTCCTAAAGTGCTGGCATTACCGGCATGAGCCATCATGCCTGGCTTCATGTTCATTTCTTCTTGCTGCTGCAACATAGTTTGAAGTTTCCTACATTTAGTGGCTTAAAACACCACAAATCTACCATCTTACAGTTCCAGGGGCCAGAAACCCAAACTAGGTCTATTAAGGCTAAAGTCAAGGTGTCAGCAGGGCTGCATTCCTTCTGGAGACTCTAATATGTTCCCTTGGCTTTTCCAGCTTCTGGAAGCCACCCCCATTCCTTGGATCATGGCCCCTGACTCCATCTTCAAAGCCAGAGGTGAAGCATCTTCAAATCTCCCTCTCTTACCTCTGCTTTCATCACCACATCTCCTGCTCCAATTCTGAATCTCCTACTCTCTTTCTTTTATAAAGACCCTTGTGATTGCTGGGCATGGTGGCTCCCACCCAGAATCCCAACACTTTGGGAGGTCAAGGCAGGAGGAACACTTGAGGCCCGAAGTTTGAAACTAGCATGAAAAACACAGTGAGACCCCCACCTCTAGAAAAAAATAAAAATAAATATTAGCCCGACATGGTGGTATGCGCCTGTAGTCCCAGCTACTTGAGAGGCTGAGGTGAGACAATCGATTTAGCCCAGGAGTTTGAGATCAGCCTGGACAACATAACTAAATCTCATCTCTACAAGGACGAGGTGGGAGGATCACTTGAGCCCAGGAATTTGTGGCCAGCCTGGGCAACAAAAGAAGACCCCATCTGGCCAACATGGCCAACCTGGCCACCATGGCGAAACTCTTGACTACAAAAATGAGCTGGGCATGGGTGACATGCATGTGGAGTCCTAGCTACTTGGGAGGTTGAGATGGGAGGATTGCTTGATCTCAGGAGGCCAAAGCTATAGTGAGCTATGATCACATCACTGCACTCCAGCCTGGATGACACAGGAGATTCTGTCTCAAAAAAAAGAAAAGAAATATATATTTAATCTCTGTCCCTGGTTCGTGGCACAGAGCTTCTAAAGCTCTTACAAAGACCTCAGTGATAGATGTGACAGGAACATCTTTTGTTTTAATATTTGGTCTTGGTCCCAGGTTTCTAACACAAGAGCCTCTAAGAACTTTGGGATCTCCAGCATGGTAAGAATGCATTTGGGGATGTTGTTCAGATGACTGGGTGACTGCAAGCTCCTAAATTTCCTCAAGAGGAGGGCTGATTACCACGCGACCACATGGTAAGAGGCTTGGAACTTTCAGCCTCGTGCACTGAACTCCAGGAGGAAGAGGGGCTGGAGACTGACTTAATCACCAACAGCCAAAGATTTTATCAATCATGCTTGCATAATAAAGCCTCCATAAACACCCTGAACGGGGTTTGCAGAGCTTTCAGGGTTGCTGGACACAGGAGATGCTGGGAGGGTCGCATGTTCAACAGAGGGCATGGGAGCTCTGTGCCCCTCCGAACTTAACTTGCCCTGGGTATCTTTCTTTTTTTTGAGACAGGATCAGGCTCTTTTGTCCAAGCTAGAGTGCAGTGGCACAATCTCAGCTTACTGTAACCTAAGCCTCCCCAGTCCCCAGCTCAAGGTATCCTCTCAACTCAGCTTCCCTAGTAGTTGGAACTCTAGGTGCACAGCACCACACCGGTTATTATTATTATTTTTAAATTTTTTATAGAGACAGGTTTTCACCATGTTGCCCAGGCTGGTCTCAAACTCTTGAGTTTAAGCGATCCTCCCACCTTGGCCTCCCAAAGTGCTGAGATTACAGGCATGAGCCACTGCATCCAGCATGCACGTCTCTTTCATTGACTGTTTCTGAGATGTATCCTTCACAATGAACCAGTAATAGGAAATGAACTGGCCAGATGTGGTGGCTCACATCTGTAATCCCAGCACTTTCAGAGGCTGAGGTGGGAGGATCACTTGAGACCAGGAATTTGTGGCCAGCCTGGCCAACACAACAAGACCCATCTATACAAAAAATAAAAGAAACTAGCCAGATGTGGTGGTGCAGGCATGTCTACTAGGGAGGCTGAGGTGGGAGAACCACTGGAGCCCAGACAATCAAGGCTGCAATGAGCTATGACTGCACCATTGCACACCAGCCTGGGCAACAAAATAAGACCCTCTCAGAAAAAAAGAAAATAAACTGTTTTTCTGAGTTCCGTAAACTGTTCTAGCAAATTATTAAACCCAAGAAGACAGTTATGGGAACCCCCGATTGGTAACAGGTTGGTCAAAAGTACGGTGACAACTTAGGACTTGCCATTGGCATCTGAAGTGAGGATGGCCTCGTGGGACTGAGCCCCTAACTTGTGGGGTCTGTGCTAACTCCAGGTAGTGTCAGAATAAAGTCATGGGATACCCAGTTAATATCCAGAGCACTGAAGAATTTGGTGTAGAAACTCCATACATACATTCAGTCGGAAGTGTGTGAGTAGAGACAAACATGGGCTTTTCTGTCACTTACCTGCTTAACTGCATAGGAGAGGCAATATGTGGTGCTCATGAACAAAGCAAACATTAAAATCAGACCAAACCCAACATTTGACTCAGTCTTAATATCCAGGCGAGCTTGGGCAAATCATTCATTATTCCTAAGGCTTCATCACTCCATTCATAAAATGGGGATAACTGTGGCACCTACCTGTGATTCTGTGAGAATTAACGAAATATTATGCTTGGGGTTATTGTGATCATTATACCTATTCCAAACTATTTGACAAGGACAGTGATGGATGATGACATCAAAAAATCAGAAACTGCAATGAGGTCTCTCAGGCAAAATTCCATACAAGCAAATTACTGTGTCTACAAAGCATTCCTGCCACACTTAATTCACCATTCCCTGAACAAAATATGCCATCTTTGTGGTTCAGGTCTGTACAGTGCTGGTTTCCCTTCCCGGGCAGTTTGCGCTATCCCATCCCAGCCCATTCCCCATCCCTCCACCTCCCCCTTCCCTCCCCACTCTCATACAACTCTTCCTCATCTTTCAGGACTTGGCTTCAATGTCACCTTAACTGGAAGCTTCTCTCACTCTCCAGAAGAGCTTCCCATTGCACTTGATGCATGCACTAGATGCATGCACTATTATTTGATCATTTTTAAGTTACAGTCCAAATCTTTTTGTACCTGAATAACATGTTGCCCAGTCAGTCTCTCTTCCTGGATTCAGAAGTCTTTCATGGTAGATCCAGCTGGAAGTGACAAAAAGACATCTTTTGACATAAAGGGATGACACAGACAGACATAAGTTCTTACATGTCTTAAATGTTATGTGAAAATTAAACAGAATTCAAAGACTTGTGGGGAACACTTAGGAGGGAAAGTTACTGGGAATGTCATAAAGGGTTAATTTGTATTTTATTTTATTTTATTTTTTGAGACAGTCTCATTCTGTCACCTAGGCTGGAGTTGTGGTGCAATCAGGCTCACTGCAGCCTTGACCACCTGGGCTCAAGTAATCTCACTTAATTTTTATCTGGTTTAAGAAAGTCTTGGTTGAGGGTGGTGACCTATGCCTGTAATCTCAGCACTTTGGGAGGCTGAGAGAGGTATATTACTTGAGACCAGGAGTTTGAGATCAGCCTGGGCAATATATTAAGACCCTGCCTCTACCAAAAAACAGAGTGAGTGTGTGGAAGACAATTTTTCCACAGACTGGGAGTGAGGGAATAATTTCAGGATGATTCAAGTGCATTACATATATTGTGCACTTTATTTCTATTATTACTACATAGTAATATATAATGAAATGATTCTACAACTCACTATAACGTAGACTCAGTGGGATCTCTGAGCTTGTTTTCCTGCAACTAGACTGTCCATCTGGGGTGATGGGAGACAGTAACAGAATATCAGGCATTAGATTCTCATAAGGAGTACACAACCTAGATCCCTCGCATGCACATTTCACAACAGAGTTTGTGCTCCTATGAGAATCTAATGCTGCTGCTGATCTGACAGGACATGGAGCTCAGGTGGTCATGCAAGCGATGGGAGGGGCTAGAAATACAGATGAAGTTTCCCTTCACTCGCCTGCTGCTCACCTCCAGCTCTGTGGCCCTGTGGTTGGAGACTGCTGCTCAAGTGCATTCGAAAGGATCCATCCCATGCCATTCTTCAGAGTCATCTTTACTGCTGCAGTGGTCAACTTGTAGCACCCCTAAGCTCGCAGGACATATGCTTCAACTGGCATTTCACAATCAACAGTATGTGGTAGCTTGAGTCATTGTGAGGTCACTTCCTGGAAATCACCAGCATCCCATATCCCATTAGCAAGGAGCTCAGCACTGCTCCTTGGATAACCAAACCTATTCCCAAATCCCATCTGTGTGCATCTATCTCCTGGTACCCTTCCTAGCATCAATTCTGTATTTGTAGGAGTCCAATCAGGAGACACAAACCACTCAAAAGTTTAAACTAGAATGAGCAAGATGGCTCACACCTGTAATCCCAGCACTTTGGGAGGCCAAGGTGGGTGGACTGCTTTGAGCTCAGGAGTTTGAGAACAGTCTGGGAAACATGGTGAAACCTCGTCTCTACAAAAAACACAAAAATCAGCTGGGTGTGGTGGCACTTACCTGTAATCCCAGCTACTCGGGAGGCTGAGGCAGGAGAATTGCTTGAGCCTGGCAGGTGGAGGCTGCAGTGAGCAGAGGTTGTGCCACTGTACTCCAGCCTGGGTGACAGTGTGAGACCCGGTATCAAAAAGAAAAAACATATATATATGTAAATTTAATATAAAAAGTATTAATTTTGGCCAGGCACAATGGCTCATGCCTGTAATCCCAGCACTTTGGGAGGCCAAGGCAGACAGATCACCTCAGGTCAGGAGTTCGAGACCAGCCTGACCAGCATGGAGAAACCCCATCTCTACTAAAAATACAAAATTAGCTGGGCATGGTGGCACATGCCTGTAATCCCAACTACTCGGGAGGCTGAGGCAGGAGAATTGCTTGAACCCGGCAGGTGGAGGTTGCGCTGAGCCGAGATAGCGCCATTGCACTCCAGCCTGGGCAACAAGAGTGAAACTCTGTCTCGAAAAAAAAAAAAAGGTATTAATTTTTACAGAGGATCAGCACAATGAGGGACACGCTAGCACAAAGTAAAGACAACTCTAGAGAGTACGGAACTAGCAGAGGCCAGGCATTGTGGCTCATGCCTGTAATCCCAGCAATTTGGGAAGCCTAGGCAGGAGGATCGCTTGAGGTCAGGAGTTGGAGACCAATCAGTGCTAAATAGTGAGACTCTGTGTCTACCAAAAAAAGAAACATTAGCCAGGTGTGGTGGTGGTGCACACCCGTAGTTCCAGCTACTTGGGAGTCTGGGGTGGGAGAAATCCCTTGAGCCTGGGAAGTCTACACTACAGTGAGCCAAGATTGTGCCACTGTACTCCAGCCTGGGCGACAGAGTGAGACCCTGTCTTAGAAAGAAAAAAGAAAAGAAAGTGTTAATCCCCCTATGGGAATCTCCTCTTCTCCTGCCCTCTCTGGAACCTCACTTGTCAGTTCTTCCTCCCACTTTCCTGTATCTTTAACCTATCCCCCACTTTTAGCTCCTTCCCATCATCATTTAAATTACTCAAACTTCTTCTGTTTTAAAAACCTCTCCCTAAACTCAGTGAGAGGTCTCCTGCACACCCATTGAGCCATCTGCTCTCCCTGGCGCCTTCTCTACAGCAGCCTGAGCCATGTCTCTAATCCATGAATCTCATCATGTTACTCCCCCATTTACATCACTTCTCCTTGCCTCAGGGATTAAGTCCAAACTCCTTAACAGCCCCTGCTCTGCCCTGCCTTGCAAGGCAGCCTCACTGCTTGCCCCTCTCCATTTCATCTGCTATGGAGTCCAACTGAGCCTCATCTGCCCCTTCAACGCACACTCTTTCTCCTCTGGGAGTCTCTGAAGTGGGTAATATCCTCTGCTTATACTATGCTTCCCCTTAAACCTCTACTCTCTTCCTAGCTAGCTTCGACTCCTCTGTCACTTGTCCGCTTTGGCATCACCTCCTCATAGAAGACTTCTCTGACTCCCGAGATTCTCAGGAGCATGGCAGGTGAGGTGCTCCTCCCATGAATGGATGGAGATTAGGGAGTGTGTGTTATTCATGCTTAATTCACCAGTGCTTAGCTGAGTACCTGGCATAAAATAGTTACTGTGGTGGCCAAAGTAATAACCCCCACCGCCACCAATTGCTCATGTCCTATGTTACACAGCACAATTACATAGGAAGGGGGAATTAAGAGTGCAGATAAAATTAATGTTGCTCATCAGCTGACCTTAAAACAAGATTATCCTGGAGTATCT